>NC_000011.10:33999393-34150909 GCF_000001405.40 Homo sapiens
ATATGATTGCAATAATCCTTTTACAGGGTCTACAGAAGACTATATGGGTACTTGCTAACTTTTGAACTATATTCTTCTTTCTCTCATCTGTTACCTGGTGGATGTAATCTGTGCCATTTTTCCCCTGTTCTTTCACCTTTGGGTGATGAGGCAATAATCGTTGCTGCAGGAACATTCACTCAGCCAAACTATTTCACCAACATTTTGTCCTCAAATACATTCTTTGTTTCCCATGTGAAAATTGGTCTGTCTTTCATGAACAGAGATGACAATGTGATACTCTTCATCTTCAATGGGCTTTGTTAGCTTTCTTAGAATAACAATAGGTGGTGGTGAGCTGTCCACAAACTGTTTCACTTGGGATCTCAACCTTATTAGTAAGAAACGTGATTGGAAGGCTGAAGCAGTAGACTAGAAATTTGTGCAATTACAATTCCTGCATTAGCTATAAAACTGTCCCATGTCAAAGGATAGACGGGTGAACCTATAAACTGAAATTTCAAATAAGAAATCTGAAGGATGGTTCTCTTTGTATAATAACCATCTTACATAGGGAAAGAGAGAGTGATCTCCTATATATCATTAATCTCCTCTCAGCACATTGCCTGTCATTTGTCACACCTTTAGAGTAATAATGACATTGTGTAAGCACACTGGGGAATGTAAGGTGCACAAGGAGTCAGTTTTTTTTCTAACTATACTCCCAATATAGTTAGAAAATTTAAAACACTTTTCTAAATAAATACATCAATTAAGAAATTATTAGGAAACTTATTAACTATTTATGACTAAATGACAACCAAAGCACTATATATCAAAACAGATAAAGTAGTTTTTTTTGTTTTTTTGTTTGTTTGTTTGTTTTTTGAGACAGAAGCTTGTTCTGTGGCCAGGCTGGAGTGCAGTGGCACTGCAACCTCTGCCTCCTGGGTTCAGGTGATTCTCCTGCCTCAGCCTCCTGAGGAGCTGGGACTACAGGTGCACAGCACCACACCTGGGTAATTTTTGTATTTTTAGTAGAGATGGGGTTTCACCATGTTGTCCAGGATGGTCTCGATCTCTTGACCTTGTAAACCGCCCACCTCAGCCTCCCAAAGTGCTGGGATTACAGGAATGAGCCACTGTGCCCAGCCTAAAGTAGTTTTTGAAGAGAAATTTATAACCTTAAATGCATATATTTGGGGAAAAAATATTAAAATTAATTTATCATGCAATTAAAGATGTTGGAAAAAACCACAGAGTGTATGCCAAAAAAGAAAAGGAAAGAAAGAAAGATGAAAGATAGGCACAGAAATTAACAAAATAGAACATAAATAAGAAAGAGTATCAACAACAACACCAAAAGCTTGTTTACTTGAAAAGATTAACATACTAGATAATCCTCTAGTGAGATACATCAAAAAGATATAAACAATATCAGGAATGAAAAAGGGGCCAGGTTCGGTGGCTGCCACCTGTAATCCCAGCACTTTGAGAGGCCAAGGCAGGTGGATCACCCGAGCTCAGGAGTTTGAAACCAGCCTGGGCAACATGGAGAAACCCTGCCTCTACTAAAAATACAAAAATTAGCTGGGTGTGGTGGTGCATGCCTGTAATCCCAGCTACTCGGGAGGCTGAGGCAGGAGAATCATTCAAATCCAGGAGGTGGAGGTTGCAGTGAGCCGAGATCACACCACTGCACTCAAGCCTGGGTGACAGAGCGAGACTCTGTCTCAAAAAAAAAAAAAAAAGAAGAAGAAGAAATGTTCCTTTGTGGTCAGCGCGGTGGCTCACACCTGTAATCACAGCACTTTCGGAGGCCCAGGCAGGCAGATCATGTGAGTTTGAGTTTGAGTAGAGTTTGAGAGTAGAGTTTGAGTTTGAGTTTGAGTAGAGTTTGAGACCAGCCTGGCCAAACATGGTGAAACTCCATCTCTACTAAAAATACAAAAATTAGCCAGGCATGGTGGCAGGCTCCTGTAATCCCAGCTACTTGGGTGGCTGAGGCAGGAGAACTGCCTGAACCTGGGAGGTGGAGGTTGCAGTGAGCCAAGATTGTGCCACTGCACTCCAGAATGGGCAACAGAGTGAGACTCTGTCTCAAAACAAAACAAAACAAAACAAAAAGAAATGTTAGTTCGCCATTCTGTAGGGTCTGTTTCACTTGTTCAGGCAGCTTATTTGACGATGCCTTTTCCTCTTGAGTCTCAGACTGCATTTCTCACATATCTGTTACGTTTGGCTTTCTGTTGTGGAATAAAAATGGTTACATTTGCCATTAGTTAAGAGCTTGGGCTCTAGGGTCAAACAGACCAGATTTCGAATCCTGACTCTAAAACACAGTAGCTAAGATGTTCTTAGAAAAGTTGAGCCTTCATTTTTTTTTTCATCTGTAAGATGAGGCTAATGAAGGGGCCTCCTCCACTGGGATGGTAATAAATCAAGCTGGGTTCTCTGTAGCACACAGAAGTCTATGTGGAAAAAAAGAAAAAGAAATCAAGGGCCAGGCACGGTGGCTCACATCTGTAATCCCAGCACTCTGGGAGGCCGAGGCAGGTGGATTGCCTGAGCTCAGGAGTTCGAAGCCAGCCTGCGCAACACGATGAAATCCTGTCTCTACTAAAATGCAAAAAAAATTTAGCCGGGCATGGCGGTGTGTGCCTATAATCCCAGCTACTTTGGAGGCTGAGGCAGGAGAATCACTTGAACCTGGAGTTGCAGGTTGCAATGAGCTGAGATCGTGCCATTGCACTCCAGCCTAGGTGACAGAGTGAGACAGACAAAAAAAAAAAATAATAAAAAAAGAAATCAAGCCGGGCTCAGTGGCACGTGCCTGTAATCTCAGCTGTGGGGGAGGCTGGGGCAGGAGGATAGCTTGAGTCCAGGAGTTCAAGACCAGCCTGGGCAAGACAGAAAGACCCCATCTCAAAAGAAAGAAATCAGTTAGCAGCTCGGTGCTCACCAGATGAAACGCTTAATGAATGTTGATTGTTTTCTGCAAACACTGCTAATAATTATAGCATGGTTCTACAAAGATTATCAGTCATCGAAAAACAACAATGTATTTTACCAAATATTGACTTTTTAAAAATTCCAGAGTAATGTCAGGAAAGATGATACGAATCACTCAATTAGCCAAAGACAAAATTGGTGCTTTGTGGGCCAGTCCCTTTGCAAACAGGTGCTGCCATATGGTGCTTCCAGGCAGCAGAGCCCTGTCCTCTGCTGGCAGTCATAACAGATGCCATCAGCCTTGTCAAACCAGTCCGATTAGGTCACATGGCTTCAAGTAATCTGTTTTAGTTCCCTCTCTGGCCAGTCTATAAACTGAGGTAATCAAGGAACTTGGTTCTAACGCTTGGTAAAGAAGGAGAACTGGGTGGGGGGTGCAGGCAGAAGGATAATTAAGAGAAAATGTATTCTGGAACTAGATAGAGGTGATGGTTATACAACATGGTGAATATACTAGATGTTACTGATGGTAAATTATGTTATGTATAGTTTACCACAATAAAAGAGATAGACAGAATGGTGCAAGATTGACCCCTGAGATTCACAGAATAATCTGCTAGGTACAAACACAGACTTGGGCTATGATTCCAGTAAAGAACAAAAGAAACATGTAGTCACTTTACAAATTGACAGAGATGCATAAACGTGTCATGCATAAAAGATGAAAGTATTCCATGTCTGATATGGTTTGGCTCTGTGTGCCCACCCAAATTGCATCTCGATTTGTAATCCCCACATGTCGAGGGAAGGTGGTGACTGGATCATGGAGGTGGTTTCTCCCATGCTGTTCTCATGACAGTGAGTGAGTTCTCACAAGATCTGATGTTTTATAAATGTTTGGAAGTCGCTCCTTTGCTCTTCTCTTTCCTGCCACCTTGTGAAGGAGGTGCTTGCATCCTCTTCACCTTCCGCCATGACTGTAAGTTTCCTGAGGCCTCCCCAGACATGTGGAACAGCGAGTCAATTAAGCCTCTTTCCTTTATAAATTATCCAGTCTTCGGTATTTCTTTTTAGCAGTGTGAAAATGGACTAATATAATGTCATACATTCATGATGAAGTAACAGTGACCTTTAGCTTATCAAGGAGACCTGAAACTTGGATCTGTATGACCTCTAAGGAGTAACTGTGTACAATTTGGACTCAGCTTTATGGGAATAAATGAAATGTAACAGGTGCATATGGTGCCACTTTCTTGCCTGTGGAAATGGAGCATTGTCCTTCCGTCTATCAAAGTTGCCTGGTGTAGAGCTTACATTTCCTAAGAATAGCATAAAATCTACTGACTGTTCTTTTCCCACAATTAAAGTCAGGCATTGGTTATTTTTGGCTTCATATATTTAAAGTAGAAATAAGAATGTGTTCCAGCCTGGGCAACATGATGAGACTCCATCTCTACAAAAAAATACAAAAAAAAAAAATTAGCTAGGCATGATGGTGTGTGCCTATGGTCCCAGCTACTTGGGAGGCTGAGGTGGGAGGATCACTTGCACCCAGGACGTAGAGGTTGCAGTGAGCCAAGATGGTGCCACTACACACTAGCCTGGGTGATAGAGTGAGACCCTGTCTGGAAAAGAAAAAAAAGAAAAAGAATGTGTTAACTGGTCCAGTGTAGTGGCTCACATCTGTAATCCCAACACTTCAGGAGGCCAAGGTGGGAGGATTGCTTGAGGCCAGGAGTTCAAGACCAGCCTGGGCAACATAACAAGACCCTGTCTCTACCAAAATTTTAAGAGATTAAAACGTTTTTTTAAAAAAGAATATGTTAATTACAAGATTTCTGGCATACAATATCTCCTGCTATACATTAAAGATTTTCCAAGTTTCTACTTGGATTGGGACCTTTGAGGTCCAGCGCAGGAAGGAGAATGTCTGTGGGAAAGAGGTTCTAAATTTATCTCAGTATATGCAACAATCATTTACTGGAGCTTAGACTATGCCCAGCACTTTGCTAAGCTCATTACAAAAGTTATCACACTTAATCCTCACAACAATCCTATGGAGGCAGGTACTATTTTCATCCACAGTGTACAGATGATAGGTCTGAGGCTTGGAGATATTATATAACTTTCCCAAAGTCACATGGCTAATAATTAGCCAGGATGGGAGCTAAGGGCCATATCACTCCAAATCTTATACTCTTAATCACTAGCTCTGCCGCCTCTGTGTTCCACCTGAGTGGAAAACTGAGTTTCACCATTTTTTCTCCACCTCTTGGCTCTGCTTTCCTCTGGAATGGCTTCGTCCTCAAGCAGGCTTTGTCCCCGGGCTGCAAAGATGGCCCTAGCAGCTCTGGGTGTGTGTGATTCTTAGCCTCTGTGATTCCCAGGAAAATGGGTGTTATAATTGTCATGGAGAGGGCTCCGGGGTAGATTCCCATGAACAGTTCTTCGCTTTGTTGTGTGAGCATGCCACTTCTCCCGTCAAGAGGTGGAGTTTATTTCCTTTCCTCCTGAACCTGAGATGGTTTCTTTGACCAACACGCATTCTGGAACTTCTGAACCCAGGCCTTTGAAAGACAAACAGCCTTTGCTTTGCTGTCTAGGAACCCAACTGCCATGCTGTAAAGAAGTCCAGGCTATGTCACTGGATGGAGGCCCCACAGAGAGGCCCTGAAGGATGAGATGCCACATGGAAGGAGGCCCATGAAGGAAAATCGAGGCACCTCAGCAGACAGTCATTACTAGGGTCCTGGACCTTTCAGCTCAGCCCAGCTGACAGCAGAATGCAGCTGTGAGTAAATCCAGCCAACGCCACACAGGGTAGAAGAACACCCTGTCAACCCACAGAATCACAAGAAATAATGCATCCTTGTTTAAAGATGCCAAGTTTGGGGGAAGACAGTTATTGCTATTGGCTTGGCATGAGTAATGTGCACATTTCTGGATATTTCATGCCCAGGAGCATGCAGGCCTCTGATTGGGAAGGTGTGCTTCACCTGCATCCTCCCTCGGCACCTTGGTGGGTACCCACAGAAATGCTAGACAGATGGAAAAAACCTGTGTCCACCTGCCTTGTGTGGTTTTTGTTAATGTGGTAGAAAGAGCAAGGACTTTGGGGTCCAAATACCTGGATTCGAATATCTGGCCATCTCTCTTTCCAATATGCCACCACGAACAGGACATATGGTTTCTCTACATCTTTCTTAAAACTAGAAATGATTTTTCACACAAGGTTCTTTTGTGGAGATGAAGAGAGATTTATTTCGTGAATATTCACCGAGTTCTTCCAATAGACCTGGCACTATCCGGTGCATTATAAGCGCTTTGAAGACAAGCTCTTTGTACTATCATTTTTTCTGAAGTTCCAAACATATTTATTGAATGAATGAATTGTGTCAGATCCTGGTGACACAAAGATAAGTGCAGAATTGGTCTCTGAAAAGTTCACAGTTAATGGTAAAGAATGTGTACAAGACTACAAAGTGGCATACAAAATTTAGTTGTTATTATTTAACCTTTTCAATGCAGTGATTCATGCACTCATTCATTCATTTACTAACTCTTCCTACTTCATTCCCAACAGTATTTGCAGAAGCTTTAAAAAATCATTCCATATAAAAGGATAAAGTACAGATGAAGAATTAGGGCAAAGGGAAAATAAAGGTTAGAACAATGATTTATTAATCTATAACTTAATTGCAACATGCTTTGGCTTTAAAGCCAAGGTACATTGCATTGTTCTTATTGAAGCATTGCCTGTTGTTTTTGTTTTTTGTTTTTTGCTTTTGAGATGGAGTCTTGCTCTGTCACCCATGCTGGAGTGCAATGGCGTGATCTTGGCTCACTGCAACCTCTGCCTCCCAGGTTTAAGCTATTCTCCTGCCTCAGCCTCCCAAGTAGTTGGGATTACAGGTGCCCACCACCACACCCAGATGATTTTTGTATTTTTGGTAGAGATGGGGTTTTGCCATGTTGGTCAGGCTGCTCTCAAACTCCTGACCTCAGGTGATCCACCTGCCTCAACCTCCCAAAGTGCTGGGATTACAGGCGTGAGCCACCACACCTGTCCTGTTTTTAAGCTAGTATCTTCACTTAAGGTAATTAAACTATCACTACTGCCAAGATTTCTAGAAGCAATAACTTCTAAGTTAGCCAACTGTAGTTTTGACATAAACACATCCTCTCAGATTTTATTGTACATTTCAATTAACTTCAGTTGGTAGGAAAGATCTTGGAAAAACTGCTTCTACTCCAGTTGGGTTAAATTGGTTGGTTCAGTCTAAAGACCTAACCATTGTGTATATGGTGATCAAATGGGAAGCAGTGGAGACTAGTAGGTAAAAACTAGGAAGGAAGCAGCTAGAAGCTGAAAACCAAGCTTCAGATTCCTCCTCTATCACTTACTACGTATGTAACCTTGAGCAGGTCACCTCACTAAGGCTGTTTCCTCATCAGTAAAATGGGTGTAACAGTAGTATTTACAACATAGGGTTGTTATGAGAATTAAACGAAATAAACTGCATAGTACATAGTAAATGTTCATAAATGTTAGCTATTACCACCATTGTAGTGGAAAGAGGATCAATTATGGAGGTGCCTGGCTTTGGGGCAGCTGTAGTTTTATTGCAAGTCTGAGTAGGTGGGTATTAATTAGGACATTCTGATGACAAGTGAAATGGAGGTAATACTGGTCATTTGAAAATTACTCATGTGCTTTTATATTTAGCTTGTCAGAACACATGACTTCCACCCTTGTCTTCCTGAGGCATCCTTTTGCCTGGGGAGATTAAAAGTGTTACAGAGGAATGCAAAGAGGAAATCCAGCTTCTGACACTCAAAAATAGGATTTTCATGCACTACTCTAGCAAGAGAGGACTGTGGATCTTCCTTTACGTCTATCTTTATTTATCAAGGTCCAGGCTAGTGAACTGTAGCGTTCCATACAGGAAGAAGAAGGAGGACAATGCTGCCCCTTCTTGGCCTCAGAGGTATTGTGGGAGGAAGAATAAAGAGAGGGGGATAAACCAAGTGTTTAAATATGGATCCCAGTCTTTCCTCTCTAGGCTTCGGCAAGAATCTTTTGCTCTGTTGTCCATTTGGGTTTCTGTTTAGGAAAGAGACACCTTGAAGGCTGTTCTAAGGTAACTAGGAGAGCAGGCACACCCGTTAAATTTGGTAGCTCAGCTGGGCTGGGCAAAGGCATTCTTTTTTTTTTTTTTCTTTTTTTTGAGATGGAGTCTCGCTCTGTCGCCCAGGCTGGAGTGCAGTGGCACGATATTGGCTCACTGCAACCTCCGCCTCCCGGGTTCAAGCGATTCTCCTGCCTTGGCTTCCTGAGTAGCTGGGATTACAGGCACGCGCCACGACACCCAGCTAATTTTTGTATTTTTAGTAGAGACGGGGTTTCAACATGTTGGTCAGGCTAGTCTCAAGCTCCTGACCTCGTGATCCAGCCACCTCAGCCTCCCAAAGTGCTGGGATTACAGGCATGAGCCACTGCACCTGGCCTTTTTTTTTGAGACAAAGTCTCACTCCATCAACCAGGCTGGGTGCAATGGCATGATCTCGGCTCACTGCAAACTCCACCACCTGGGTTCAAGCGATTCTCCTGCCTCGCCCTCCAGAGTAGCTGGCATTACAGGCACATGCCACCACACCGGCTAATTTTTGTATTTTTAGTAGAGACGGGGTTTCACCATGTTGGCCAGGCTGGTCTCGAGCTCTTGATCTCAAGTAATCTACCTGTCTTGGCCTCCCAAAGTGCTGGGATTACAGGCATGAGCCAACACACCTGGCTGGGCAGAATCATTCTTGAAGTTTCGGTTTCTCAGCTGCTCTCAAGCATCAGAGGGCTGCAATCAGCTTGCTATGGTGGAGCAAGGTCGTCTACCTCATCACAGAAGCTGGTGGGACACTGGTGGGGGTGAACTGCTGGTAGCGGACAGAGGAAGATGAAGCAGAGGCTCAGAGGTCTGCAGCCAGGAATGATGCAGCTCAGGAGAGATCTGACTGCATCCTCCACCTAGAGCCCCTGTCATTCTCTCTGTAATGTTGAAAGAAACCAGTTCTGTGTGACCTTGGACAGACCCCTTAAACTCTCTGGGCTTCCAACTTCTCATCTGTAAAATGAAGAGGCAGGCAGGATAATCTCCAAAGCTCACCCTAGTCATGAAATTCTATGTGTCTGAGGCTGGGCGCGGTGGCTCACACCTGTAATCCCAGCACTTTGGGAGGCCGAGGCAGGGGAATCACCTGAGGTCAAGAGTTCGAGACCAGCATGGCCAACCTGATGAAACCCCGTCTCTACTAAAAATACAAAAAATTAGCCAGGTATGGTGGTGTGTGCCTATAATCCCAGCTACTCAGGAGGCTGAGGCAGGAGAATCACTTGAACCCGGGAGACAGAGGCTGCAGTGAGCCAAGATCACACCACTGCACTCCAGCCTGGGCAACAGAGTGAGACTCCATCTCAAAAAAAGAGAAAAGAAAAGAAATTCTATGTTTCTACAATTCAAGTCAATATCAAACCTTCTCCTAACACATGTAATTTGTAATATGAATATAAACTAATTGAACTGCTAAAGCAGGGGTGTCCAATCTTTTAGCTTCCCTGGGCCACACTGGAAGAAGAAGCATTGTCTTGAGCCACGCATAAAATACACGAACACTAATGATAGCTGATGAGCTATAAAAAAAAAAAACAACAACTCATAATGTTTTAAGAAAGTCTACGAATTTGTGTTGGGCCCCATTCAAAGCCATCCTGGGACACATGCTGCCCATGGGCTTCAAGTTGGACAACCTTGTGCTAGATACTTAAGGTCACGGGGAAACCTGGTAGCTCCCAGAGGAGCAGCAGAATTATAAGGCCTCATGTCTAATGAATTTCAGAACTACCACTTCTGACAAAAATCCCCTCTGTTATTATGTTCAAGTAAAAGATTAAATAGAGCCAGGCGCGGTGGCTCACGCCTGTAATCCCAGCACTTTGGGAGGCTGAGGCGGGCAAATCACGAGGTCAGGAGTTCAAGACCAGCCTGGCCAGCATGGCGTAACCCTGTCTCTACTAAAAATACAAAAATTAGCTGGGCGTGGTGGCACGCCTGTAATCCCAGTTACTCAGGAGCCTGAGGCAGGAAAAGCTCTTGAACCTGGGATGGGGAGGTTGCAGTGAGCCAAGATCGCACTGCTGCACTCCAGCCTAGGCAACAGAGCAAGACTCCGTCTAAAAAAAAAAAAAAAAAAAAAAAAAAAAAGATTAATAGAATTAGCAAACTTCTATTTTATGAATTTTAAGATCAGCTATTAAAGCTCTATATTCCTTTTACTCAGTAATAAAACTACTGATATGTGAAACAATATGGATAAATCTCAAAATAATTATGCTGAGTGAATGAAGCCAGACATAAAAAAGTACACACTGTATGATGATTCCATTTGTATACAAAACTTTCTATCTATAGTGGCAGGCAGATCATGGTTGCTTGGGAAGGGAGTAGGGGCCATAAGGGCACTTACAAAGGGGGCATGAGGAAAGTTTTGAGGGCAATGCATATATTCACTATCTTGATTGTTGGTGATGGTTTCATGGGTGCATACATATGTCAAAACTTATGAATGGAACATTTTAAATATGTGCAGCTTACTATACATCCTTTATATGTCAATAAGTCTATTTTTTAAGAATCAAATTTTTAAAAGTTAAAGATGATGCATTTCTTCATTTGTCAGCTTTAGCCAAAATAAACATTTTAGCTGGGTACAATGGCTCACACCTGTAATCCCAGTGCTTTGGGAGGCCGAGGTGAGAGGATCGCTTGAGGCTGGGAGTTCAAGACCAGCCTGGGTAACATAGCAAGACCTCATCTCTACAAAAAATATTTTTAAAAAATTAGTCAAGCATGGTGGCACTCACCTGAGGTCTCAACTATGCGGGAGGCTGAGGCAGGAGGCTCACTTGAGCCCAGGAGTTGGGGGCTGCAGTGAGCTATGATCATGCTGCTGCACTCCAGCCTGGACGACAGAGAGACCCTGTCTCAAAAAAAAAAAAGAAAAGAAAAAAGAAAAAAATTTCAAAAAATGTTAACTTCTAATTGTTATATATGAGAGGGAAAAAACAATAAAAGAGAGTGTATAAATATATGACATATATATGTATATGTATCGTGTGTGTGTGTGTCTGTGTGTCTGTATACACATACAATTATGTGTCTTCTAATAAGGCCTTACCCTCTAATTATTGAAACACAGAAATCAGATAGGCAAGATTTAAAACATTCCACAAAGGAACAAAACGTTAAAGCATAAGACGCCATGTATTTCTAATTTATATATGATTTGAGATACTTAAACTTCAAAAATTTAAGTAGTAATACTGTCCTTTGTTTAGGTTTTGTGCAACTAGTACTTGAGATGTTTTTAGTTTCCTTTGGATGCTTTGCCTACAACTAAAGTATGCTGTCACCAGTGGGCAATTATGTAATTATGTCTCAGTTATAGCCACACAGTATAAATGGCAGATCTCCCACCTCAAGTGCGGTTAACTGAGAAGAAGTGGCAGAAATGAGCACTCAACTTTTCTTTTTCTTTCTTTTTTTTTTTTTTTGAGACGGAGTTTTACCCTTGTTGCCCAGGCTGGAGTGCAATGGTGCGATCTCGGCTCACTGCAACCTCCTGGGTTCAAGCGATTTTCTTGCCTCAGCCTCCTGAGTGGCTGGGATTACAGGCGCCTGCCACCATGCCCAGCTAATTTTTATATTTTTAGTAGAAATGGGATTTCACCATGTTGGCCAGGCTGGTCTCGAACTCCTGACTTCAGGTGATTTGCCCACCTTGGCCTCCCAAAGTGCTGAAATTACAGGCGTAAGCCACCGCGCCTGGCCATGAGCACTCAACTTTTTTTTTTTTTGAGACTGAGTCTCGCTCTGTCGCCCAGGCTGGAATGCACTGGCACAAACTCCGCTCACTGCAAGCTCCACCTCCTGGGTTCACGCCATTCTCCTGCCTCAGCCTCCCGAGTAGCTGGGACAACAGGCGCCTGCCACCATGCCTGGCTAATTTTTTTTTTTTTTTTGTATTTTTTTAGTAGAGATGGGGTTTCACCGTGTTAGCCAGAATGGTCTCAATCTCCTGACCTCACGATCTGCCCGCCTTGGCCTCCCTAAGTGCTGGGATTACAGGTGTGAGCCACTGCACCCGGCCAAGCACTCAACTTTTTAAAAGACTAAATAAATAACTGCGATGATGTTTATCAATACTGATTATGTCCATTTGTTTCCATTTTAAATGTGGTAAGAATTCTAGAAATCAATATAGACGTATTCTTTTCTTGCAAATGCCTAATTGTTACATCTTTTAGTTATCTGTTTTTAAGAAGCAAGCACTGCAGCTCAAACAGAGGGCATGAGAAAAGTGTGTCAGAGAAGCTAAAAACAAAAGTCCCTTGTTCTGGAGAAATCTGTGGATTTGAAATAAGTAGCAGAAGATGAGCTTAATTTATGTAATAGCATATACACATTCTTAATTAAAAATTCAAAATGTTTTCTGTTTTCGGGACACTAAACTGGTGTGCAACAAGGTTAAGGCCATATGCCATCAGGGTTTGCTGTCTAACAGCTGAAGTTGACTTTAAGTTCTAAAGTTGACTTTTCTTGTTTTACAGGCAGACAGGCAGTGAGGTTTTTTTTGTTTTTTGTTTTTGTTTTTGTTTTTTTCTGGAGACCAAGTCTCACTCTATCACCCAGGCAGGAGTACAGTGGTGGATCTCAGCTCACCTCAACCTTCCTAGGTTCAAGCAATTCTCGTGCCTCAGCCTCCCAAGTAACTGGAATTATAGACATGTACCACCATGCCCAGCTAATTGTTGTATTTTTAGTAGAGATAGGGTTTTGCCATGTTGGCCAGGCTGGACTCAAACTCCTGGCCTCAAGTGATCCGCCTGCCTTGGCCTCCCAAAGTGCTGGGATTACAGGTGTGAGCCACCATGCCCAGCCTCAGGCAGTGAGTTTTCAAAGCTGAGTTTCATGCACATGGTGACTCAACTTTTGTGGGGAGGCATTGACAATTCCAGCTGTATTCAAATTCATTAAAGAGCCCCTTCATTCGGGAGTAGTTTGAAAACTTAAAACTCTGAGGCTCAGTGACCATCCCTGTCTCATCTTCTTGTCATTATATGAATAGCAGTGGAGAATGAGATCAGAACACCAGCAAGGGAAAAAAAGTGTGCTAGAGTAAGGCTAAGGATGAGAAAACATGAAATTATGCTATTTGGGATGGTGGGTGGGAACTCCTGGGCTGGGGACGAGGATGAAGTGTTTTTGGTGGGCATTTCCTCTCCTGGTAATAACCCCAGTTTTGTTTTGAGGGAAGCATCCTTCCCCCTGGTCAGCCATGTGGTTTAGGTGCAACTGGCCCCTACTCTCATCCTAGGATGGCTTGTAATTGGCTTAAGCCAGTCACTATGCACTGGTCTTTCCAAAATAAGCAAACAATGCAATCTAAGACAACTCAGTGGAAGGAGATATTGGAACCTCTGAGGGGGTAAGAGTTCCACAAGACACTCTCTTTCCTGAAGAGTGGCTATAAGGACTAGAGGTATGACCTGGTTGGCAGCCATTTTATTACCAAGAGTGGGGTGCCTGGGGCTGCCAGGAATCCACTTTGTGGAGAATAAAACCAGTAGAGCAGAGAGCAGAGAAAAAATATGGAGAGAAACAAGTCCTTAGTTGAAATGAGTTGAGCTGTTGGATCAAATTATACATAAAGTCAGATTTCACCGTACTTTCAGTTAAATAAACCCATTATTCCCCTCTTTTTTAAAATGAATTTTCTATATCTTGAAATACAAGGAGTCCTAACTAATCCGTGATCATTTTACAAGAGTTGTGGACAGTGCTAAATATGGCCCAAGATAAAAATAGTTAAAATGGTAAATTTCACCACAATTTGGAAAAACTCAGTAATGTCTGGCAGTAAAGAAAAAAAAGATGCCTGAGTTTATGAGTCTGGAGCTTCTGAGTATCCATAAGGTACCTAAAAAGGTCACACAGTTATTCAAAACCCACCTTTGCCATAGGCCTCCAGGAAGACGTTTTCTGCAGGTCTATATAAGCATTCTACCATGATGGCAGTGTCTTCCCTTTTTTTAATTATTTCTGGACCATTTGGGCTCCATTTTAAAAAAAGAGAGAGATCTAACTCTCAATTGGGTGCTTATTCTGTACCAGGTACTTTGCTGAGTAATTTCTGTGTATCATCTAATTTTCTTATTTATTTATTTATTTATTTATTTACAAGATGGAGTTTCGCTCTTGTTGCCCAAGCTGGAGTGCAATGGCACGATCTCCCCTCACCACAACCTCACCTCCCAAGTTCAAGCGATTCTCCTGCCTCAGCCTCCTGAGTAGCTGGGATTACAGGCATGCACCACCACGCCCAGCTAATTTTTGAGTATTTTTAATAGAGATGGAGTTTCTCCATGTTGGTCAGGCTGGTCTCAAACTCCTGACCTCAGGTGATCCACCCGCCTTGGCCTCCCAAAGTGCTGGGATTACAGGTGTGAGCCACCATGCCGGGCCTAATTTTTTTCTAGTAGCCACCACTCTTATGACCATCTTATTTTATAGATGGAAACATTGAGAATTAGAGGAGTTAAGAAACTTGCCCGTGCTTACACAGCAAGAGACAGGGCTAGGACTTAAACTCTTTCAGGGCCATGCTGAAAGTCAGTTATCAGTGAAGGAAGCCAGAGAGGCTGGTCCAAAGTCTCTGAGGCATAGAGAAGCTCTAGCCAATGTTTCCTCCTCTCCAGGCAACGAAAACAGAAAAACAGATACTGGTTAGCAGCACACTTACTTCCGCGTCAATTATATTGAAACCCCAGGATCATTTATTTCTGATTAGAAATTTCCCAACAAATTCTGCTTTGGGGAGGAAAAGATCTGAAATTTCTTCTGCTTTTGTTCCTTTTGAACTGTCACTGTATGTGCTGGACTGTGATCAGCTGTGGGGAGAGAATACAGGGTGGGAGAGGCCAAGAGCTGGTAAAGGAGACAGAGAGAGACTTGAGGGATCCTGAATGACCTATAAAACCTGTGGGTTTACAGAGGTGAATCTGAGATGTGGCATGGGCTGGGCTCCAAGGAGATGAACTGGAGATGCCCAAATCATAAATTGGGCATTATGTAGCAGAGAATGGGTAAAGACTGCTGTCCAGATCTCCAAAGCTGCCAGGAATGCACTGTCAGAATGTCCAGGCTGGGATCCATCTCCAAACCGGGAAAAAGAACAAGGAGGATCTGTTGGAATTCTGGCAACCCTGGGCACAAGGGAATGTTATTAGCACCTAATATTTGAATGATCATTTGGTGTCAGGCACCATGCAAGCTTTATTTGCATTGTCTCATGTAATCATCCTCCATGAGTTAGGTATAGGTGAGAAAGGTGAAGTTTAAAAAGACAGTTAAGGCTGGGCATGGTGGCTCACACCTGTAATCCCAGCACTTTGGGAGGCTGAGGCGGGTGGATCACCTGAGGTCAGGAGTTCAAAACCAGCCTGGGAAATACGGCAAAATCCCATCTCTACAAGTCAGAGAAAAATTAGCCGGGTGTGGTGGCTCGTGCCTGAAGTCCCAGATACTTGGTGGGCTGAGGCAGGAGGATCACTTGAGCCTGGGAGTTTGAGGCTGCAGTGAGCCATGTTCGTGCCACTGCACTCCAGCCTGGACAACAAAGTGAGGCCATGTCTCAAAAAAAAAAAAAAAGACAGTAGTTAACTCACCAAGATCTCCCTAGGCTGGCTAACTAAAGACACATGGTTATTGATATAGTCGCCCTAGGTAAGGAACTGAGATAAGACCTTGAGGCTAGGAATAGCATCTTGCCTTGTTGGTCCAGGGACAGAAACTTGAGACTATTCTGGTTTTAAGCTGATCAGAGTAAGTCAGACTCTGGAGGTCCTAATAATTGCAAGAGCAGAGAGCAGAATTGATTCTCTGAGTTGCCGTAACTTTCTTTCTTTCTTTCTTTCTTTTTTTTTTTGAGACAGAGTCTCACTCCGTCGCCCAAGCTGGAGAGCAGTAGCACGATCTCAGCTCACTGCAACCTCTGCCTCCCTGGTTCAAATGATTCTCCTGCCTCAGCCTCCTGAGTAGCTGGGATTACAGGTGCTCGTCACCATGCCCGGCTAATTTTTGTATTTTTAGTAGAGACGGGGTTTCATCATGTTGGTCAGACTGGTCTCAAACTCCTAACCTCGTGATCTGCCCGCCTCGGCCTCCCAAAGTGCTGGGATTACAGGCGTGAGCCACTGTGCCTGGCCTGAGTTGCCATAACTTTCATAACATGGTCAGAAAGGAAATGCTGAGTTGTGTCATAGCCAATTATCATAAATAATAATGGCTTTGAAAATTTTCCATCTCTTGCATCATATGCAGACACATTTATTCGACAAACATTTACTGATTTCCTACTTGTGTTGGGCACTATTCTAGGAGCTTGGAGTATAAAAATAAACAGGACACAGTCCTTGTCTTCAAGGAGCTTTTAGTCTATTGGAAAAAATAAAATACTGTGTGCTAACTGCTAAAATAGAGATCTGTGAAAAACTCTGCCAAAGAAGCTTCGCAAAGATAATACTGGAGTTGGATCTTGAAGGTAAGTGGGGATTCTTTAAGAACATTACAGGGGCCGGGCACGGTGGCTCACGCCTGTAATCCTAGCACTTGGGAGGCTGACGCGGGCAGATCACCTGAGGTTGGGAGTTCGAGACCAGCCATGACCAACATGGTGAAACCCCATCTCTACTAAAAATACAAAATTAGCCAGGAGTGGTGGCACATGCCTGTAATCCTAGCTACTTGGGAGGCTGAGGCAGGAGAATCACTTGAACCCGGGCAGCGGAGGTTGCGGTGAGCCAAGGTGGCGCCATTGCACTCTAGCCTGGGCAACAAGAACAAAACTCCATCTCAAAAAAAAAAAAAAAAAGAAGAACATTACAGGAAGGACAGATTCTGGGCAGAAGAACTGGGGTCTATGAGAATGGGCAAGAACACAGTCTGTTCTGTAGAATAGCACCACAGTCTCTGAAGCTAAAATATAGGGTATATCAAGAAGGACTTTGTGGGAGGGGGAGCAAAATGGAGGAGGTAAAACTCCAGGACAATTCAGATGTCAAAAGGAAATTAAAATGCATGGCATTTGTTTATCTTTTTTGAGTTGACTGAGAAATAAGAGAGTAGGGTATAAGTTGTGATTTTTACCAAGGTATATCAGTCTGGGTGTAATCAGGAGAGGGAAACCAAATAGGAATTACGGCAGAGAAAGCCTAATAGAAATATGGCCAGGTGCGGTGACTAACACCTATAATTCCAGCACTTTGGGAGGCCAAGGCGGGCGGATCACCTGAGGTCGGGGTTCAAGACCAGCCTGGCCAACGTGGCGAAACCTGTCTCTACTAAAAATACTAAAAAAAAAAAAAATTAGCCAGGTGTGGTGGCACGCATCTATAGTCCCAGCTACTCTGGAGGCTGAGGCAGGAGAATCGCTTGAACCCAGGAGGGCAGAGGTTGCAGTAAGCTGAGATCATGCCACTGCATTCCAGCTGGGGCGACAGAATGAGACTCCCCCTCAAAAAAAAAAAAAAAAAAAGTCGGGTGCAGTGGCTCACACCTGTAATCCCAGCATTTTGGGAGGCCGAGGTGGGCAGATCACCTGAGGTCAGGAGCTCAAGACCAGCCTGGCCAACATGGTGAGACCCTATCTCTACTAAAAATACAAAATTAGCCAGGTGTGGTAGTACATGCCTGTAATCCCAGCTACTCAGGAGGCTGAGGCAGGACAGGAGATTGGAGTAATGACGGATGCATTAGTAAAAAGAGAAATCTAAAGAATATAGGAAATATGCACATATATATATGCAGGTCTAATATATAACAGTACATCTAATAGCCATTCCCCATAGCCCCCAAAGTTGAGATCCAGGTCTTATTGGAGAGGGCTTGGCCATGGCTTATTAGATGGCTTAGAAGTCCATCATGGTGCTATATTAGTAAAGCATGCTGGAAATCTGCTCCCTCGAGTGCATGCCACTATAGAAGCACTGAGGAGGATACCAGGGGAACCTGGCTGCTGAGCTGCCATGCACTTCAAGGGTAGGACACTAGAGAAGCACCTCATGCAATAGGAGCTGGCCACCAGGGAAGTGACGTGTGCTGCCCAAGGGGCCTGGTATTAGAGGAAGCTACACAGTAACTCAAGCATGCTGCAGGAACCAAGAAATAAAATCCTTCTTTCTGGCCAGGCACGGTGGCTCACTCCTGTAATCCCAGCACTTTGGGAGGCCGAGGCGGGTGGATCACGAGGTCAGGAGATCGAGACCATCCTGGCTAACGTGGTGAAACCCCGTCTCTACTAAAAATACAAAAAAAAATTAGCCGGGCCTGGTGGCGGGCGCCTGTAGTCCCAGCTACTAGGGAGGCAGGAGAATGGCGTGACTCCGGGAGGCAGAGCTTCCAGCCTGGGTGACTCCGTCTCAAAAAAAAAAAAAAATCCTTTTTTCCTGCAATGTCTCTCCAGCTCCCTCTATGACAAACTTCAGTGTCAGCTGGCAAAGGACAAATATTTAAAGGCCCAGGCCTATTTTCACAGAACAGGCAAAAAGGTTGAATTTGGAGCTGTGAGGCATTAAATCTGTAACTGGCACACAAGAACTGGTAAAAATATTTTTGACTGGTATTTCCTGGGAAAATTATACCCAAACTAAATTCACATTTTTGAAGTGCTGTATTTGATAAAATCTGTGCAAATTCAGTGCCAGGTGGAGAAAAATAAAATAAAATAAATAATAAAATCATATACTGGGTAAAAATCTGACAAATGGTTCATGATCCTGGAAAATTTGTACCAGGACATCCCATTTACTAATATTACCTTTCTGTTATTGATATTGGTGAAAGTTATATGATCTTATATTTGTCACTAAAAGTGCTATGATGTGCATTATTTTTAAATGGCAGTTAAGAGCAAATGCTTTATACTTTCTTTCTGTATATACAAAGAAAAAAAAAGCAAGAGCTTTGGAGCTGACAAACCTCATTTGAATCTGGGCATGGCCACTTACTAACTGTATGACCTCAGGTAAATTACTTGATTGATTTCCTCATCTGTAAAATTAATATACCTACTTCGTGGGATTGTGATGAAAATTTACTGAGATATGTTTAAATTTCTTAACCCAATGCACATAAATATTATCAAACTGTTGATAATAGCAGCTCAAAGGATGATAGCTACTGTAAAAATATTTAAAGATAACTTACCATGTGCCATGAATAACGATGGCCTTAAAATATTATTTATTCACTCAATACCATATTTTCAATCTTTATTAGTTAAATCATGGAATTTGAGGAAGAAATTGGTTACAAATGTCACAGAGTTGTGACAATTAGATGGCAATTAAAGTGCATTGCTCCTTTCTATGTACTTCTGAAATGCCTTATTTGTGTGCCTATTATAGCCCTTATTATAATATTATAGCACCTATAGCACTTATTTCATTCTGTCTTGTATCACAGTATTATAGCAGATGGTCTTCACTAGACTGATTTCTTCATAAGCAAGATTGTTTAGTCATTTTTCTTTCCCACCAGATTTTTTAAAATTATGTATTTTGCATATAATAGACACTCAGATATTTGCCAAGATTTAATTTTATTTTATCACTAGGTTTTCCATTAGTATTGCAATTCTTGAAACTCTTAGCAAACTCCTTATGAAGCTTTAGAGCTCAAAGGGACCGAAAATTTTAAGAATCTTATTTTACAGAAGAGGATCCTGAGAGCAGAGTGAGTTACCTGCCTAGGCTCATGCAGCTAGTTTAAGGACAGGCCCAGGACTAGAACTTAACATTTCATTTATGTATTAATAATTTGTCACGGCTGGGCGTCATGGCTCACGCCTGTAATCCCAGCATTTTGGGAGGCCAAGGTGGGCGGATCACGAGGTCAGGAGTTCAAGACCAGCCTGGCCAACATGGTGACACCCCGTCTCTACAAAAATACAAAAATTAGCCGGGCGTGGTGGAATGTGCCTGTAATCCAGCTACTCAGGAGGCTGAGGCAGGAGAATCACTTGAACCCAGGAGGCTGAGGTTGCAGTGAGTCGAGATCGTGCCACTGAACTCCAGCCTGGGCGACAGAGTAAGACTCTGTCTCAAAATAATAATAGTAATTTGTCACATATTGAGTAAGGCACAATGCTGAGCTCTAGAGTTAAATTAAGCATATGCCTTTGCTTTCAAAGAGCTGATAATATATTTAGGAGGCAAATAAGGATAATCCAATGAATTCAAAGCAATGGGATGAATGCATTACAGGAAAATATGGGCTGGGTATGAGCTGGTGCTCTCCAGCACAGCTGCATGATGGTCCAGATGCTGAAACATGTCCATACTGTTGATCAAGAGCCACCTTCCCTACCTCCCTTTCCCAGATATCTTCATGATCTAGAGACTGAAGAGCTGAAGCATGAATGCCCAGGGCTCTGTTTTAGTTCTTGGAACCAGGCTGTATTCCAACTGGACATACTTAAAGCAGAACTAATTTTTCAATATCTTTAAATATTTCGAATATCACCTCTGGTGATACGCAGAGAGTTAGATTAGATGAAGTATGTATAGCAAGGATAGAGACCTAATTCAGAACAAAAGTTTAAAACAAAAACCTTCAATAACTGGAAAAAGACTTTCTTTTTCTATTATAAAATCTTATAGAAAATTTGAAAAATACCAATATAGTTATGTAAGATGTTACCATGAGATAAACTGAGTAAAGGGTACATGGGAAACAAACAAACAATAAAGAATACAAGGGATCTCTCTGTACTATTTTTGCAATTTCCTGTGACTCTTTAATAATTTCAAAATAAATAATGTTTTACAGTGTGAAGGAAGCCTATCTATCTACTTGGTGTTGTTAATTACAAAGGTATACACACTATACCACTGCAAATGGAATTCTATTGGTGCTTTATTGAAATAAAACAATTTTAGGCCAGGTGTGGTGGTTCACACCTGTAATCCCAGCACTTTGGGAGGCCGAAATGGGCGGATCACCTGAGGTCAGGAGTTAGAGACCAGCCTGGCCAACATGGTGAAACCCTGTCTCTACTAAAACTACAAAAATTAGCCGGGCATGGTGGCAGGTGCCTGTGATGCCAACTACTCAGGAAGCTGAGGCAGGAGAATCACTTGAACCTGGGAGGCAGATGTTGCAGTGAGCCAAGATCGCACCCATTGCACTCCAGCCTGGGCAACAAGAGCGAGACTTCGTCTCAAAAAAAAAAAAAAGCTAATAATAAAAAAGCATAAGTCTTAAAAGGATGGAAATATTCCATTTCACTAGTTTGGAGTATAACATAGGTCATATCTCGTCATAGTCAGGACTTGGACTTGCAGGAAGTCTTTTTGTCCTGAGGTTCTTAGAATCTCACAGGTGCCCATTCTCGGTGATGTCTGTTGGGCCTGTTGCACGTCATTACCCCTGAAACCCAGCTACCTAGTCAGTCCTAGGAACTAGTGATTCACTGCTGCCATCACCACGTCCCTCAGCAATGACCTGTGGGGGTAACTGGTCAGAAAAACATCTAGCATTCACCCCTTGCTCAACATAGAAGTGTTTGCCCCAAGCAGGAACAGTTATCACCCTTGAATTCTCATAGAGTTAAACACAGACCTCACCATGCAATGAGGCAATCACGATAGTTTACTGTGCTTCCCTATAGTTGCTAAACGGTCTAATCTAAATCACTAAAATTTAAGAAAGCCATTTCTTCACCTTCTTCAAAGGCGTGCAGGCTGGCTAAAGGAAAGCTCAATTTGCGTTACTGAGCAGAATACAAAAATCTCAGTGTGTAGCATGAGCATGCAAACTTAAGGTGAGCTGTACAGCTTTCTTCAAGATTAATGGGTGAATATTACTAGCCTTGTATATAAATGAATAAGATATCCATTGTGGTGAGCATCCCAAAACCAAGGAGTCAGCTTCAAAGGCAATTCCAGAAACTGAAACAAGTGAAGCTCCTTTGGGTGAAAAAATCTTTATACCAAACATGCAGAGATACACCTACACATGTGTGCACACACATTTACATATCTTATTTTTTATTTTTTATTTTTTTGAGATGGAGTTTCATTCTTGTTGCCAAGGCTGGAGTGCAATGGTGCAACCGTGGCTCACTGCAACCTCTGCCTCCTGGGTTCAAGCAATTCTCCTGCCACAGCCTCCTGAGTAGCTGGGATTACAGGTGCCCACCACCATGCCTGGCTAATTTTTTGTATTTTTAGTAGAGATGAGGTTTCACCACGTTGGCCAGGCTGGTCTCAAACCCCTGACCTCAGGTGATCCACCTGCCTCGGCCTCCCAAAGTGCTGGGATTACAGGCGTAAGCCACCACACCCAGCCTACATATCTTATTCTTAAATCTTTTTGACTTTTTATATTATTCTTAAAGCCTTTCTGGTACCCCACAAAATGGATCACTTGTAAATACAAAATCACAAATAAATGAAATTAAATTTTATATTATATCTTTCCACTCTGCTTTTGGCACATGTAAATACACAAATGCACAGATATATTTCACTCTAATCCTACTAAAAAAAATGTGAAAATCATACACTATATATGTGAAATGCTTCATCTGCCAGAGTAGGGAAGGAGTATTGATAAGAGTAGAGATTAGATGGAAATTAAGTCATAGAATATTCACATTTGAAGGTTTGGTAGCCATTTTCCAAAGATGACTGAAATAAACTCCTCCTCTTAGTAGCCACACCCTTGTGCAGTCTCTTCCCACAATTAATCTGGGCTGACCCTGCTATTTGCTTTAACCAATAGAATGCAGTGAAAGTGTGAGGTTGTCTCAGTTCTGAGCCTAAGCCTTGAGAAAGTCTGATGGTTTCTGCATTGCATTGCACATTGAAGATTCTTGAGTCACCATGAAAAGAAATCTGATTGCTCTGTTGGAGAGACCACGTGGGGAGAGAGAAGCTCTGAGACTGTAGAGAAAGAGGGCCAGTTCTCCCAACATTCTAGCTGAATCCAATATCCCAACCATCCTTACTAGGGTGCCAAGCATGTGAGTGAGCCCTATCAGACATTCTAACCTGATTGAGCCTCCAAATGACTACAGTTCCAGATGACATCACAAGAGGCAGAAAAACCATCCAGCTGAGCCCAGTCAACCCACAGAATTGCCAGATTTTTTTTTTTTTTGAGACGGAGTCTCACTTTGTCACCCAGGCTGGAGTGCAGTGGCGCAATCTCAGCTCACTGCAACCTCTGCCTCCCAGGTTCAAGTGATTCTCCTACCTCAGCCTCTTGAGTAGCTGGGATTACAGGAATGCACCACCACACCCGGCTAATTTTTGTGAGATTTCTTAAAAAGTTGTTCTAAGCCAGACAGGCGTGGTGGCTCACACCTGTAATCCCAGCACTTTGGGAGGTTGAGGCAGGCAGATCACAAGGTCTAGGAGTTTGAGACCAGCCTGGCCAATATGGTGACACCCTGTCTCTATCAAAATACAAAATTAGCTGGGCGTGGTGGCTCGCACCTGTAGTCCCAGCTACTCGGGAGGCTGAGGCAGAAGAATCGCTTGAACCCAGGAGGCGGAAGTTGCAGTGAGCCAAGATGGTGCCACTACACTCCAACCTGGGTGACAGAGTGAGACACCATCTTAAAACAAACAAACAAACAAACAAAGTTGTTCTAAGCCATCAAATTTTGTGATAATTTGTTATGCAACAGTAGATAACCAAAAGAAAAGGCATCATAAAAATTAAATCAGAGAGATTATCCAGCCAACTTTCTCATTTGGCATGATTCTAAAAGTTTTAAAAACTTCTTCAAGGGCCTTAACTATTTGTTGGATAGATCAGAAATAAAATTTTGGTCTCAAGTTTTAGTTGAACATTCTTTTCACTATATCTTGAAATGTGAAAAATGGCCACTAAATGAGGTTTTTTTCATTGTTGTTGTTGTTTTGTTTTGTTTTGTTTTTTTGAGACAGGGCCTCACTCTGTCACCCAAGCTGGAGTGCAGTGGTGTGATCATGGCTCACTGCAGTCTCAACCCCCTGGGTTCAGGTGATCCTCCCACCTCAGCCTCTCAAGTAACTGGGACTACAGATATGTGCCACCATGCCTGGCTAATTTTTTGTAAAGATGGAGTTTTACCATGTTACCCAGGTTGGTCTTGAACTTCTGGACTCAAGTGATCCTCCTGCCTCGGACTCCCAAAGTGCTGAGACTACAGGTATGAGTCACCATGTCCAGCCCATTAATTGAATTTTTAAAAATGATCAAACAGGGTAGTTTTGCTTGAAAAGGACTACTCACAGTTACTTAGGCTCTAAATTAGTATTCAATTTTTAAAATGTATAAATTAACAAATATTTTTTCTTAAGTTTATGTTTAACTTATAAATCTTGTTTTAGCTATAAATCAAGTAATGTTCTTTGATATTTAGTTACTTAAAGTTTACCAGATGAAATTTTCCCAAATAACTAGTACCGTTTACAAATGTAGTAATTAAATCCATTTAAATATTTTGAAATAACTTTGCATAATACCTCCCATCAGCAAGCACTTCAAGTAATTTACAGGACAGACTTACAACTCATACTTGTAAAATCTTTTTAAGCACTTAAGTAGTTCTTATATATGTAACAAATCAAATCCATTAATGTGGTAAATCAGCTTCTCTTGTAAAGAGTTTAATTCTGTTAAAAACTATTTTACATCCTGCAGCTTAAAATTAGTCTAAAATAAATTGCATATTTCAGGTAAAACAAGCTAATTTGTGAGACTCTCTAATATGCCAGTTCTCTTAAATATTAGGTACCGTATCAGCCAGGATGCTCTGAGGTCATGCTGCAGTAACGAACAATTCTAGCCAGGCACGGTGGCTCATGCCTGTAATCCCAACACTTTGGGAGGCCGCGGTGGGCGGATCACCTGAGGTCAGGAGTTAGAGACCGGCCTGGTCAACATGGTGAAACCCCGTCTCTGCTAAAAATACAAAAATTAGCTGGGTGTGGTGGCAGGTGCCTGTAATCCCAGCTACTCAGGAGGCTGAGGCAGGAGAATCGCTTGAACCCAGGAGGTGGAGGTTGCAGTGAGCCGAGATTGCACCATCGTACTCCAGCCTGGGGACAAGAGAGACTTCGTCTCAAAAAAAAAAAAAAAAAAAAACAATTCCAAAAATCTCAGTGACTGAAAACAATAATTTGATTTATCACTCCTACTACCTATTCACTTTGGGTTAGCTGAGGGGGTCTGCTTCAGGCCCTGCTCGCTCTGGGGCCCACACCAATGGAGAAGACGCTAAATGGAGCACTGCTGGCACTGTGGTAGAGGAAGAGAGAGAGTGCCAAAGCAAACCGTAGTTCTTCAGCTCTCACCCTAAAGTGACATATGCTATTTCTGCTCACATTTCCTTGGCTAAAACAAGTCTTCTTGGCCACTACTAACTCCAAAGAATCAGGAAAGTATACTCTTATCATATTTCTCTATTCATAAGGTGGAGAACTAGAAATACTTCATAGGAATAGCACTAATGGCCATCACAGATACTTGAAACAGGAAATATGTATATGATCCCCATGACTGAGAATAACACTAAACTGAATGTATTGCCTTTGGTTTGATTTACCCAGTGGTGTTGAAGAGGCCAATTTGTACTGGCTTGTTAGGATCAATTGTTAAATTTTTAGGAAATTTGCAAGCCAATTGTTAACTAGAAGTTATTAAAAATTACATTATGTAAACTTGCCATTAAATAAGTTATATTTAAAACAAAGATCACATATATTCAAAATGCATTGCTTTCTAATTATTTTACTATTAAATACATTCTGCTAGTACCTATGTTCTTGAGGTTTTTACACCTATTTTATCTGTCACAGTACAAAACTTCATAATAGTGTTCTATGGCACATTTCTTCCCAACTGTTCATTCAGTGACATCTCGTTGTTAGCTTACAATTGGCTGTGGTGGGAGTATATTTACACCAGGGAAATCAGCAAACACTACCAATCAGGGTTTGATTTACTGTCTATTCTTAAGAAAGTGATGTAGAAAATGTAAATAATGTAGTTTAAACTTAAAAGAGTGTAGTGTCTATAACCATTACATTGTGAACAGCACATAAAATTGAAGAAATGTTCTTCCAATATTCAAAATATATTATCTCACTCAGTAAAGAAGTCATTCATGTATTGATAAACAAGTGAAGTTCTGACATCATTATTGGTTCATTTTCTTCTCACTGATTAGTGGTAAGGAAAACATTAACCAACATTCACGCCAGAACTACTCTTGTTTGTCAGTTACAACCATGGGTTGGCCATGGACATAAGAGGCAAAAATCAATAAAAGCATTTTGTGATAATCAATTGGCTATATATATAATTCAAAACAAAAAATATTGGATGGGTGCAGTGGCTCACGCCTGTAATCCCAGTACTTTGGGATGCCTAGGCGGGGGGATCACTTGAGGTCAGGAGTTTGAGACCAGCCTGGCCAACATGGTGAAACCCCATCTCTACTAAAAGTACAACAAATTAGCTGGGCATGGTGGCGTGCACCTATAATCCCAGCTACTTAGGAGCCTGAGGCACGAGAATCACTTGAACCTGGGAGGCAGAGGTTGCAGTGAGCCGAGATTGTGCCATTGCACACCAGCTTGGGGGACAGAGTAAGACTCTGTCTCAAAAAAACAAACAAGCAAAACAAATAAAAAACAAAATAAAAAGTATTATATATCTTATTTGTAAGTTGTGTATTATTCATTACATTAAAATGCAAGCTAAATATCATGTATATATATCTATATATCAATATATATCTATATATAGATATATATACATACAAGTATATATGTACATGTATACATACATGTATACATGTACATACATACACGTATACATGTACATACATATATACATACACACGTATATATGTACATATATGTATATATACACATATATACATGTATATATGTGTATATATACATCTATATATGTATATATACATATATACATGTATATATGTGTATATATACATCTATATATCTATATATCTATATATACGTATATACATGTATATATGTGTATATATACACATGTATATATCTATATATATATGTGTATATATACACATGTATATATCTATATATACATGTGTATATACGTATAGATATATACGTATACGTATACGTATATATATGTATATATGTATATACGTATATATCTATACATATATACGTGTATACACGTATATACACGTATATAGACGTATATAGACGTATATATACGTATATACACGTATATATGTATAGATATATACGTATATACATATATATGTATATATACATCTATATATAGATATATAGATGTATATATACACATATATACATGTATATATGTATATATAGATATATAGATATATAGATGTATATATACACATATATACATGTATGTACATATATACGTGTGTATGTATATATGTATGTACATGTATACATGTATGTATGTACATGTATACATGTATGTATGTGTGTATACGTATATGTATAGATATATACGTATACGTGTATATCTATGTATAGATATGTATATACATGTATAGATATGTATATACATGTATAGATATGTATAGATATGTATATCTATACATGTATATCTATACATGTATAGATATGTATATCTATACATGTATATCTATACATGTATAGATATATAGATATATGTATAGATATATAGATATATATGTATAGATATATAGATATATATACACATATATACATTATATATATAGATATATAGATACATATATACACATGTAAAAACAAACTGTTTTTCCTACTCTCTACTTTCATACAGTCATTCAACATTTCTGACACCAGATGTGTGGGGTTTTTTTCCTCACACACCAAGCAATTCCCTGGCAGATCTTCTAACAGGCACTAGATGGGTGTCCTCTAATTCAATTCACTTCTGACACCGTCTACCTAGAGTTAGCATCAGATCCCATAGGTTGAGGGCTCCGTCCCACAAGACTGCCCCCTACTTCAGCTGCCAGTCGCAATCACAGAGTGTGACTGTGCTTGTGACTGACCAGCTATATACATTAGAGTTCCCACAGACCCCTCCTCAGGTTCAATTAATTTGCTAGAGCCACTCACAGAACTCAGGGAAACACTTTACTTATGTTTATTAACAAATAATATAATAAAGGAGACAGGTGAACAGCCAGATGAGAGACACATAGAGTGAGGTCTGGCGGGGTCCCAAGCTCAAGGGCTTCCGTCCCCATGGAGGGTCAGTGCACCATTCTCCTGGCACACAGATGTGTTTGCCAACCTGGTAGCTTTCCAAAACCAGTCCTTTTGGATTTTTATGGAGGCTTCATTTCGTAAATACGACTGGTTAAAGCCTTGCTAATGGTGATCTGCTCAATCTTCAGCTCCTCTCCTCTCCTCTCCCCAGAGATCAGGGAGTGGGCCTGAAGATTTTAGTCCTCTAATTACATGATTGGTTCCCCTGGCAACCAGCCCCCATCCCAAGGCTATCCAGGAGCCCCACTGAGAGTCACCTCATTCGAATGAAAGATGCTGCTACTATTCAGGAAATAGCAAATGTCTTAGGAGCTCTGTGTCAGGAACTGGGGTCAAAGACCAAATAGCAGAACAAAAGACTCTCCTAGCACCCCTATTTACAAAGGTCTTGGGAGTTCTGTGCCAGAAAATAGGGAAGACGACCAAATGCATATTTCACAATATCACACACGTGCACACACCTTTCCCCCAGAGAGCTGGTTGTTAAACATTCACCAGCACCGTTGGCCTTACGTCATCTCAATATACCTTCCTGGAGTTGAAATCTTCTGGAAAAGATCAAGTTTTTCACCTTCGTAGTCTGAAACTGAAAGTTAATGGAACCTGCCAGGGTGGACTTGGGTGACCCTTACAAAGCACTTATGATAGGAAAGACCAAAAAAAAAAAAAAAAAAAAAAAACAGAAAAACTCCCCATGACGATAGGAAGAGCCTGAAGATCCTGAACCAGTGGGTTCACTTCTGCCTCATGCTAAGGAAACTGAAGGTTCTGGGTCGTGCCTCAATGCCCTTGAAGGGAGGCTTCAAGAGTTGACACTGAGGAGCTATGCAGAGGGAATGCAGGGTGATCTTGGCTTAGAGCACCTTGAGGAAATGACCAACAGCCCTAGTCCAGGCTGTAGCCTGCCAGAGTTTCAGCAGGCATAGAGGCCGAGTGCCAGGGTGACATTGTTGAGCAGAAACTTCTCTTTACAGAACTCAGATTTCAACTGAGTGAGCTGGCAGCATCCAAGAGCAGATGTAGCAAACTCCAGGCTCAGGCACTTCAGTCTGGCTTCCAGCTCCAAAGCTTTGAAAGCCAAGCTGTGTTAAGGCCCCAAGTTCTAGAAGGCTTTTGGCTCTAAGTGAAGTTTCTATGTTAGATGAGATTTGTTTTCTATAAGTAGCAGAAGTTTAATTTTTAAAAAGGAGGGGGAAGAGGAAGAAAAGGAACAGGAGGAAAAGATAGTTTCCTTGGTCTTTAAAGACCAACATTCAGGGCCGGGGGCGGTGGCTCACACTTGTAATCCCAGCACTTTGGGAGGCCGAGGCGGGCAGATCATGAGGTCAGGAGTTCGAGACCAGCCTGGCCAACACAGTGAAACCCCATCTCTACTAAAAGTACAAAAATTAGCTGGGCGTGGTGGTGGGCACCTGTAATCCCAGCTACTTGGGAGGCTGAGACAGGAGAATCACTTGAACCCGGGAGGTGGAGGTTGCAGTGAACTGAGATCATGCCACTGCACTACAGCCTGGGTGACAGAGCTAGACTCCGTCTCAAAAAAGAAAAAAAAAACAAAAAACAAAAAACATTCAGCTGGGCTCAAATCCAGCACCATGACAAAGAGCATAACATTTATCTTAAAGCAGAAATGGAAAGGCAGTGAGGGTTCTCACATAGTCAGATCTCGGTAGGTTGCCAAAGGGCGGTGTCCCAGTATACAGGAAAGCTTGCCACCAAAGCCAGAGGTAGGGATATAAAGGTGGAAACTCTTTCCTAAAGGAAGAAGCCACTTTAAAATGTAGCATTTTAAAATAATTGTTTTCTTGTCCCTCTAAATTTTAGGCCCAACATCAGACAAAGCCTCAGTTTACTCTGATCTAAACTGTAGCTCTAGATCATGTAAACTAAGCTGAACATGTAAACTCTCCAAGTCTCCATGTTCTCTTTTTGGTAAAATGGAGAGAGTAACCCGCCTCACTGGGTCATTGTAGAGATTAAATAAAAACATATAAGCCAGGCATGGTGGCTCACACCTGTAATCCCAGCACTTTGGGAGACCAGGGCAGGTGAATCACTTGAGTTCAGAAGTTCAAGCTCAGCCTAGGCAACATGGCAAGACCCCGTCTCTACAAAAAACACAAAAAATTAGCCGGGCATGGTGGCACGCCTGTGGTCCCAGCTACTTAGGTGGCTGAGGTGGGAGGACTGCTTGGGCCCAGGAGGTAGAGGCTGCAGTGAGCCAAGATCGCGTCACTGTACTCCAACCTGGGTGACAGAGTGAGACTCTGTCAAAAAAAAAAAAAGAATAGAATAGAAAAGAAAACATACAAGATGTGTTCTTGGCACAGAGTAGGTGGTCAGTAAATGGTGGCCATAATTATTATAAGAAAGTACTTGACCTTATTGGGTTTATTTCTTTTTTTCTCTACAATTAGCAATTGCTTTATTAATGATTTCTGCAGAGAATCTATTGAGGACGTTTTATCAGAGTAGTTACCTAAGACTTAAGAATAACAATCCATTTTGACATGTAATCCTACATGGGTACCATCATTCATCTTTTTTATATTACTTAAATTTCAGGCATAGTGTGTGGGAAGAAATAAATAGCCTCTGAAGGACTGTGCAAAGCAAGCTTATAAAGACATGTGTATTTTAGGGGAAAAAAACTGCTCCTGGTGATTCTGATTGTGCCCATAAATATTTATTTAAATGAATGGATGCCTAATTCCCTAAACTCCACAATGGAGAACCTCTGGGAGTATATTCAAATTCTGTTGCCAAGCTCTGCTTACTTGCCCTAATTTCCAGTTAACTTGAGCATGCATGCCCAGAGGGCACATAGTACTATACTTTTAGACCTTCTAAGACTCATGAGGCAGATATTTTATGTCCTGGTAAGTCCCTGGCTCTGTAAGGACTTGCCCTGCACTAGCCCCGAGCAAGGTTACACACAGGTATTTCTGAGTGGCCCCACTGTTTTTCCATAGCCAATTAAAGGGGGGGGGGCAATAAAAATCTAGTCTTATCTTGAGAAGTAACAGAAGTGAAGTTGGTTAAGTTGGTTTTGTTCTTTTCCCTTTTTTTTTTTCTTTTTTTGACAGAGTCTTGCTCTGTCACCCAGGCTGAAGTGCAATGGCACCATCTTGGCTCACTGCAACCTCCACCCCCTGGGTTCAAGCAATTCTCCTGCCTCAGCCTCCCGCCCAGCTGAGGTTACAGGCGCCTGCCACCACGCCAGGCTAATTTTTTGTATTTTTAGTAGAGATGGGGTTTCACCATGTTGGCCAGGCTGGTCTCGAACTCCTGACCTGAGGTGATCCACCCAACTCGGCCTCCCAAAGTACTGGGATTACAGGCATGAGCTACTGCATCCAGCCTGTTCTTTTCTTTTTAAAAAAAATTTAACATGCAGGGCTGGGTACAGTGACTCATGCCTGTAATCCCAGTACTTTGGGAAGCCAAGGCAGGAGGACTGCCTGAGCCCAGGAATTCAAGACCAGCCTGGGCAACATGGCAAGACCATGTATCTATTTTTTTTTAATTAATGTGCGCACAAAATGAGTGCAGGGAGAATTATCCCAAGTTGTACTCTCTTCATGAGGACTAACAGGTTAAGTTAGTATCAACTTTGGCTCATTAGCCTCCTCAGAAGACCTTGTAGAGTTCTTTGTACCCCTCTAGGACATTGGTGCCAGAGGAAGATTCCACCTGCAGTCCTCAGAGAGTTGGCTGCTCTCTGACTCCAAATGCCACCCCTTTCCCTACTGCAGTTCTAACATTCTGTTAGGATTGAACCTCCAGCATGATCGTGACTCCCATTTGTGTTTGTTCCTGAAAGGGCACACATGACTTGTCCCTCTACTAGCAGGCTAGCAGCAAACAATGGCCACGAGTGATTTATGGGCACGTATAATTTTCCCTGGGAATTTCACAAATGTTAGGAAAGAGAGAAACCTGAGTGATAACATACCACCTTCAAATCAAGTAAGTCAGGGTTTGGAGCTTTCCCAGAATTCAAGCCAAGTATCAATGAGATTATTCTTGTAAGAGCATCCCAATTTTCAGTTCTACAACCCCTTTCCAAATACTTTCAGAGAAAACACTGGAAATGATTGGAATCCCTGCTAGTCAATCCAGTAAGGCCTTTGAGCATCAAGATGAGGTGTACTGGCATAGTTGTGACTTCATTTTTATGAGCCAGCATGTGAAGTCCAAGACCTAAGAGTTATTGGCAGCTCTGGGTTCTGATCAAGTTGTCTATTACCTGGCAGCCCTTGACTGCTTCAAGCACCACTGCTGCTTGTCGGCGGAGCCAGACATCTGATTATATCACTGCTGAGACTTCAAAATCCAAGCACCAACAATCCTACCAGGATGCAGCTTTAATCTGGTCTCTGATTCCACTGGACTCAGTATAAATATCCTCCAATTCACAAGATACCATTGCTTTGTGTTAGGCCCCTGAAGCGGATGTGTCACAGTTACTCCATAGCAGCAGATTTCTGGAGCCCATGGTATATTATCTGGGACTAAGCTGACACTATTGAAATTAAGACCAAACCCTCAATATTGCCTCAACTTAATGGACTGAGGCCACAGATGTCAAGCTGCTACCACCTGCAATGAGTGGAGCCAAGCCCTCTGTCCATTAGGCTAGATCCTGACATCCTTTAGGAGATGGCTAAGAGTGATCCACTCTGGCCTTTCATCACTGTTTCTGCTGCCACATTTGTCACTGGTCTTCCATTACATCAGTGGTCTGAAAGTGTGGCCCTTGGACCAGCAGCATCCATTTCACTTGAGAACCTGTAATGCATGTTCTCAGGCCAGCCCCAAATCTACTCAATCAGAAATTCTGGGGCTGGGGCCTAGTGCTCCGTGTTTTCACAAGCCCTCTTTGTGATTCTGATACATATTAAAGTTTGAGAATGACTGCAACTACACCATCATCCCCATAGTACTCCATATTTCCTTGTTCCTGACTCAGTTCCCCACTGTTGGAATGTACCTGCCCACTCCCAGCTCTCCAGTGTAGCCTCTGAAGCACCTGCTCTGTGATCAACAAATTTCTCTGTGTCTTACACGTCTCTTCTGGGAACGTTCTCCATACTTCATTCCATTAATTAAAACCTGATCTCTCTCTCTTCTTAGATAGGGTCTCCCTCTATCACTCAGGCTGGAGTACAGTGGCTCGATCATGGCTCACTGCAGCCTCAATCTTCTAGGCTCAAGCAATCCTCCCACCTCAGCCTTCTAAGTAGCTGGAACTACAGGCATGCACCACCATGCTCGGCTAATTTTTAAAACTTTTTTAGTAGAGATGAGGACTTGCTATGTTTCCCAGGCTGGTCCCAAACTCCTAAACACAACTGATCTGCCCACTTTGGCCTCCCAAAGTGTTGGGATTACAGGCATTAGCCACCATGCCCAGACTTAAAGCCTGTTCTCTTCTGTAGCAGCCTTCTGTGATACTAAATCTGTGCTCACAACTATCCACTACAGGACAGGTTCTTGTCCTCCTTTCTTCTCATCACTATTTCTAGATCATTACTTCTTCTCTACTCTCTTGTAAAAACTCCTACTCCTTTGAGGCTTATGCCCCGTGATGGTTAATTTTATATGTTAACTTGACTGGGCTAAGGGATGCCCAGATAGTTGATAAAACATTATTTCTGGGTGTGTCTGTGAGGATGTTCCCAGAGGAGATTAGCATTTGAATCAGAGACTGAGTAAAGAAGATCAGCCCTCACCAATGTGGATGAGCATCAGTCAATCTCTTGAGGGCCCAAATAGAAAAACAAGGTGGAGGAAGTGCTGGATGTAGTGGCTTACACCTGTAATCCCAGCACTTTGGGAGGCCAAGGTGGGAGGATTGCTTGAGGCCAGAAATTTGAGACCAGGCTGGACAACATAGCAAGACCCCATTTCTATGTGAAAAAAAATTTTTAAAGGAGGAGGAAGAGCAAATTATTCACTCTCTCTCTCTCTCTCTCTCTCTCTTTCTTTTCCTTTGGGACAGAGTTTTGCTCTTGTTTCCCAGGCTGGAGTGCAATGGCGTGATCTCGGCTCACCACAACCTCTGCTTCCCAGGTTCAAGCCATTCTCCTGCCTCAGCCTCCCAAGTAGCTGGGATTACAAGCATGTGCCACCACGCCTGGCTAATTTTGTACTTTTAGTAGAGATAGGGTTTTGCCATGTTGGTCAGGTTGGTCTCGAACTCCCGACCTCCGGTGATCCGCCTGCCTTGGCCTCCCAAAGTGCTAGGATTACAGGCGTGAGCCACCATGCTCGGCCCATTCTCTCTCATTTTGAGCTAGGACATCCATCTCTCCTGCCTTTGGACATCAGAGCTCCTGGTTCTTGGGCCTTCAAACTCGAGGACTTGTACTTTACACTTGGGACTTCTTTCCATGAGCTGTGGAAAGCCACTGAAGAGTTTTAATCAGCTGATTGAAATGGTCTGACTTTCCTTTGAAAAGAGCACTCTAGCTACTATGCAGGAAATAGCCTGTGGGGGAGGCATGGATGGAGCTGAGACACAGTGAACAGAACTTGGGTGTGGTCGAGCTGGAAGCTGAAGGTGTGGGCTAGGGAGGTAACCCTACACTTTTTTTTTTTTTTTTTTTTGAGATGGAGTTTTGCCTGTCTCCCAGGCTGGAGTGCAATGGAGTGATCTCGGCTCATTGTAACCTTCGCCTCCTGGGTTCATGCGATTCTCCTGCCTCAGCCTCCCGAGTACCTGGAACTATGGGCATGCACCACCACACCTGGCTAATTTGTGTATTTTTAGTAGAGATGGGGTTTCACCATGTTGTCTAGGCTGGTCTCAAACTCCCGACCTCAGGTGATACGCCTGCCTTGGCCTCCCAAAGTGTTGGGATTACAGGCCTGAGCCACCACGCCCAGCCAACCCTATACTTTTAACCACATGCTGTCCTTGTACTTTTCTCTGAAGGTGCAGTACCTGGACCAGCAGCATCCAACATTACCTTGGAATTTGTCATGTAAATTCTCAGGCCCTGACCCACTTACCTGCTTACTTTTATGAAACTTCTGATTCTTTACATAACCCTCTCATTCCCATGAAATAACTTTTACCTCTTAGTTCACAGTGGGCAAAAAAAAGAATCTATTGTGCAGGAATTCCTTCAATTTCCAACCACCATACCTATAAACGCCTGTAAATTATTTTCTTCAGGTCCATTCATACTAAAGAGGGTTCCCGCCTTCTAACTGTGGCTGAGCCCTCTGTCTGTGCTTACCATTTATGCGTGCTCAAGTCTCCATCAACACACTAAAACAAATAAATAATTTCCCCTACCTCTGCCTCCAGCCATCACCCTGTCCGTCCCAAAGCCAAACATCTTGGAAGAGTTGTCTACATTCATTCTGTCTACTCTCTAATCACCTCCCCAGACTACTTGAACCTGGCTTTGGTTCCTGCCATTCCACTGAATGATCTCTCACCAGGGTTCCCAATGATCTCTTGCTGCTAAAAACAGGGAAAACATTCAGTCATGTCACAAGTATACCTGTACTTCCTGTTAAATTATTGAAATACTTTTGCGCCAGTTTTAAGAAGAACTGCCACCCCAAGTCCCCTCAGTACCTCCTCTCTGGTCACTGCCTCAGACCTTCCTCCATAGCTTCCCATCATCTAGCAACTAAAGAGCTAATGCCACCCACCGCAGGCCCGCCTCATCCTGTCCCATATCAGGCTAATGTTCATTCTGATTGGTTGGTATTCAAGCCGTATCAGTTGTTAAATATTTTTAGTGTAGCCCACGCTGGCAAAACTCAGCAAATTTTCCAGTCTCCATCTTGACTATTCAGAATCATTTAACATAGTCAACTCTTTAAAATACTCTCTTCCTTTGATTTCTGTGATGCCATACTCTCTTGATATTTTTCCCTCTACTTCTCAGTTTCCTAGACTGACTTTCCCCATCCATATAATCTTTAAATTGTTGGTATTGCCCTCAGTCCTCTTCGCTTTGATATCTCAATAGATCTCACTATTCTCACATCATGGCTTCAATGACTATCAATATGTGAATGAATTCCACATTGAATCCAAGACTTCTCTGAACCTCAGGCTGGACTTAAATGTCTGCTTAGCACATTCATTTGGCTGTCTCATAACCCCTGCAAACTTAACATGTATAAAATTGAACTTCCTGGCCGGATGCGGTGGCTCACGCCTATAATCCCAGCACTTTGGGAGGCCAAGGCAGGTAGGATCACCTGAGGTCAGGAGTTCGAGACCAGCCTGGCATATATGGTGAAACCCTGTCTCTACTAAAACTACAAAAAATTAGCCAGGCGTGGTGGTGAGTGCCTGTAATCCTAGCTACTCAGGAGGCTGAAGGAGGGAGACTCCCTTGAACCCCAGGAGGCAAAGGTTACAGTGAGCCAAGATGGCGCCATTGCACTCCAGTCTGGGCAAAAAGAGCGAAACTCCTTCTCAAAATAAATAAATAAATAAATAAATAAAGAAAATTGAACTTCCCATCTCTTAGCTGCCCTTCTGGTCCTTCTACCGCGATGGTTCTAACCATCCAACCAGATGTATGAATCTAGAAAGCTAAGAGTCATCTGTGACTCCTCTCTCTCCCTTACTGCCCTCTCATATTCAATCAATTACCACGTTCTATTTATTCTACCTCTAAAATATATGTAATTGCATATTAAATCCATTAAAATCTCTCCATATGCCCTGCCAGTACTTTGCTCAAGCCACCATCGCCCCTATGATTATGGTGGCCTCTTGTATTCTTGCATCCATATTTGCCTCTCTCCAATCTATTTTTTTGTAAAGCAGCCAGAGTTATCTTTTAAAAATGCAAATCTGATTAGACCAATATATCCTTTTTCATTCTCCTGGGGTTCAAAATGAGGTCACATTCCTTTCAATGTTCAAATCAGATGACTTGGAGCCTTCAACTTGTCTCCCTTGTGTGGTAACTTTAGATTCCAAAGGTACAGATTGTCTTGATAAGTGGAACTGGGAAATTTGCTCATATTCTTTTTGCCTGCTGTGACTGTCAGTAAAATACCCAATTCTATGTGTTCTTCCATCCTCATGTAGTCCTTATCCATTGGGTTTATGATATGCTGTGACTAGGCACAGACGTCTACCAAATAGCCCAGGGTAATCCTTATTCAAAGAAAGAAAGAATTTTGATTATCTAGGGGCCCAACAGTGTTTCAATTCTAGAACTAGGAAAAAAAAAAAAATATATATATATATATATATATATATATATATATATATATATATATATATTTCTTTCAAAGTGTTGCATTCAACTATGGTGGCTCAATGCCATGGTGTTCAGTCTTTTCCCTTGCATAGCTCTTCTAGCTTATACACAGGGATAAGAAGTGCTGGTAGGTGTCAGAATCAGCTTTTATTCCCCAAGGCAAAGCCTTAATGGCTTTGTGATTTAGTGCATGTAAATTGATTTTTCTGCCCAAGTCTACTCCAGCAATCTGCCAGGCTCAATACATATAGTTCCACAGGAGGCCAGCAGTGTGGGCTGCAACACCAGTCAGAATGCACTTAAAACCTTTGGCTTTAGGGTGTGGTCTGCTTCTTTCCAAGAAGCATCTTGCCTCAGTTCCTTTTTTTTTTTTTTGAGACAGAGTCTTGCTCTGTAGCCCAGGCTGGAGTACAATGGCACGATCTCTGCTCACTGTAACCTCCGCCTCCCAGGTTCAAGTGATTCTCCTGCCTCAGCCTTCCGAGTAGCTGGGACTACAGGCGCCTGCCACCATGCCCGGCTAATTTTTTGTATTTTTAGTAGAGATGGGGTTTCACTGTGTTAGCCAGGATGGTCTCGATCTCCTGACCTTGTGATCCGTGCGCCTTGGCCTCCCAAAGTGCTGGAATTACAGACGTGATCCACTGCGCCTGGCCCACCTCAGTTCATTTTTAACCAAAATGTCCCTAACACTCTAGTTCCTATCTTTGGTAGGTGGCCTGACCACTATCTGAAGTTGGAAACAGGAGAATCCCAGAAGCCACCTTCTTCTCACATCTAATCAGCCACCAATCCTTGGTGACTCGATCTATTAATATACTTAGAATTAAGCTGGGACACTGTCGTAGTTAAATGTCTTATCCGTTCTTTTACCATTTTAATCAGTTCCTACAGGTTACCTTGACTCAGCTTCTAATCTAACCTCCATATTGAATCCATTATTATTTCTAAAATGTAAATCTGATCCTGCCTCTGTTCTTCTTAAATCTCTTTTAATTAATTCCAATTGTCTATTGAAAAGATAGGATTCTAGGCTGGGCGCGGTGGCTCACGCCTGTAATTCCAGCACTTTGGGAGGCCTAGGTGGGCGGATCACGAGGTCAGGAGTTCGAGACCATCCTGGCTAACGCGGTGAAACCCCATCTCTACTAAAAATATGAAAAACTAGCCAGGTGTGGTGGCACGTGCCTGTAGTCCCAGCTACTCGGGAAGCTGAGGCAGGAGAATCTCATGAATCTGGAAGGCAAAGGTTGCAGTGAGCCAAGATCACACCACTGCACTCCAGCCTGAGCAACAGAGCGTGACTGTTTGAAAAAAAAAAAAAAAAAGAAAAGAAAAGATAGGATTACAAATCTGACATCTATGAACCAGGAATCAACAGATGAGCATCAGAAGAACTGAATTATATGTAGGAATTTACATGTGCATTTTTCCAATGAGATGGTCTGTAATTTTAATCAGAACTTCAGGGGAATGTATTTCCATAAGAAGGCTAAGACCTATAGTTCAAGTTCAAGCGGTGTAACTAGGATAAAAGGAGTTTTCATGACCTGGTCATAGCTTACCTGGCTAGTCTTATTATCTGCAGCTCTCTCCCTGCCATCCCTCCCCAATTAATACTCCCATAATATAGAAACACTTGGGATCCCTAAACCACACGATATGATTTTATGCTTTCATGTGCTATTGAGCATGCTGTTCCCTCTGCCTGCAATGCCTTTCCTCTTTCTTTTACCCACTTTTGTTTCTTGTAAAAATTATCTTTCGCCAGGTGCAGTGGCTCACACCTGTAATCCCAGCACTTTGGGAGTCCGAGGTGGGCGGATCTCCTGAGGTTGGGAATTCGAGACCAGCCTGACCAACATGGAGAAACCCTGTCTCTACTAAAAATACAAAAATTAGCCGGGCTTGGTGGCACATGCCTGTAATCCCAGCGACTTGGGAGGCTGAGGCAGGAGAATCGCTTGAACCCGGGAGGCGGAGGTTGCAGTGAGCCGAGATCATGCCATTGAACTCCAGCCTGGGCAACAAGAGTGAAACTTCGCCTCAAAAAAAAAAAAAAATCTTTCAAAATTCAGCTCTGGCAACATTTCCAGAGAGCCTTTTCTGATTCCCACCCATAAAGAGTTACCCACTCCACTTATGTGTCACCTCTGTTCTTGTACAGCCTTCTGGGTTGCCCATATTTTTGCCATAAAAAAGAAAATATCTTAAGTAGACATTTATATTGAAGCATAACATACCTACAGGAGTGTGCAAACTGTAGGCATATGGCTCAATGAACTTTACGAAGTGAACACAGCTATGTAACTATCACTCTGAACAAGAGATAGAATATTGGCCAGGCATAATATCTCATACCCGTAATCCTGGCACTTTGGGAGGCTGAGGTGAGTGGATAGCTTGAGTCCAGGAGTTAGAGACTAGTCTGGGTAATGTGGGGAAACCTCACCTCTACCAAAAAAAAAAAAAAACATATATATATATATACACACAAAAATTAGGCTGGGCATGGTGGCTCACATCTGCAATCCCAGAGCTTTGGGAGGCTGAGGCGGGTGGACCACCTGAAGTCAGGAGTTCGAGACCAGCCTGGCCAACATGGTGAAACCCTGTATCTACTAAAAATACAAAAAATTAGCCTGGCGTGGTGGCGGCTGTAATCCCAGCTACTTGGGAGGCTGGCGCAGGAGAATCGCTTGAACCCGGGAGGCAGAGGTTGCAGTGAGCCGAGATTGCGCCATTGCACTCCAGCCTGGGCAACAAGAGTGAAACTCCATTTCAAAAACCAAACAAATAAACAAACAAACAAAAATTAGCAGGGCATGGTGGCGCACACCTGTGGTCCCAGCTGCTTGGGAAGCTGAGGTGGGAGGATCACCTGAGCCCGGAGAGGTCTAGGCTGCAGTGAGCCATGATCGCACCACTGCACTCCAGCCTGGCTGACAGAGTGAGACCCTGTCTCAAAAATAAATAATTAAATAAAAAAATAAAAAGAGAATATTGCCAGGACCTCAAAAGCCTCTCTTGTGCTACATCCCAGTCATTACCTAATGACAAAGGTAATCACTGTTCCGATTTCTTTTACCATAGATTAGTTTGTTTTTATTGTTCCATACTTTTGTGTCTAGTTTCTTTGATTCAACATTATGTGTGTTGAATTTATCCATGTTGTTGCTAGTAGCAGTGGTTTGTTCATTTTCACAGCTATATGTATTAAATAAATATACCATATATTTATCTTTTTCTACTATTGATAGAAATTTGGGTTGTTTCCATTTTTGGTTACTAAGAACAATGCTGCCATGAACATGCTTGTATATGTCTCTTGATGACCATATCTATGCTTTTCTATTAGTATATGCCTAAAGCAGAATTTCTGAGTTATACGGTATGTGAATACTCAGCTTTAGGAGATACTGACAAACACTGTTCTAAGATGGCTGGGCCTATTTATTTATTTATATATATTTTTTATTTTTTTGAGACAGAGTCTCACTCTGTCACCCAGGCTGGAGTGCGGTGGCACGATCTTGGCTCACTGCAACCTCCACCTCCCAGGTTCAAGTGATTCTCTTGTCTCAGGCTCCCGAGTAGCTGGGATTACAGATGCACGCCGCCATGCCCGGCTAATTTTTTGTATTTTAGTAGAGATGGGTTACGCCGTGTTGCCCAGGCTGGTCTCAAACTCCTGAGCTCAGGCAATCCACTCGCCTCAGCCTCCCAAAGTTCTAGGATTGCAGGTGTGAGCCACCGCGCACGGCTGTCTGGGCCAATTTATACTCCCATCCACACTGCATGGAAATTCCAGTTGCGCTACATTCTTGCCATTCCTTGTTTATTTCAGGTTTTGCTTTGTTTTTGTTTTGTTTTCTTTTGCTTTTAGGACAGGGTCTTGCTTTGTCACCCTGGCTGGAGTGCAGTGGCACGAACATGGCTCACTGCAGCCTTAACCTCCCAGGCTCAAGAGATCCTCTCTCCTCAGCCCCCCAAGAAGCTGAGACTACAGGCACGTGCCACCATGCCCAGGTAATTTTTGTAGTTTTTGTAGAGATGGGGTTTCGCCATGTTGCCCAAGCTGGTCTTTAACTCCTGAGCTCAGGCCATCTGCCCGCATTGGCCTCTCAAAGTGCTGGGATTACAGGCATAAGCCAATGTGCCTGGCCCATTTCAGTTTTTAAATTTTAGCCATTTTGGTGACTATGTAGTAGTATCTCACTGAAGTATATCACATTAAATTGTATCTCTTTATATATTTGACTACCCTTCTTAATACTAATTTTCTGGAGGCCATAGGATTATGTCTTATTCAACATGTGAATAAACACAGACAGTGCCTGGCATGCACAAGGTGCTAAGTTCTTGTTGCAGAAGTAATGAGGGGCTGAGAAGTCTTCCAAATGCTAAAATCAAACATTTCCGGTACATAAAAATCGACCTTGCCTAAGTTTAATCATCATCAAATCCCAGTCAACAGACATGCCTGAGTGTCCACTCACTGCCAGTATTAGTCTTCTGATACTTTCTTCCCAAGGCCTCATCAGCTGAGTGCTTCATAGCATTGCCTGGCAATGTAGACACTAGAGCTGTGACAGTCCTAATCATAAAGGTAAAAGAACCCTTGAAATATGATTCCATTTCCCCCACTTTCTTCCAAAATCATATGTAAATCCCACAAAGAGTGGAATAATCTAATCCTTGTTTAAAGACAACCAGTTATGCAAATAGAGCCCCAATAAGGTACTGCTTCTCACTGAGACACATTCACTAGCACAGCGATAATCAAAAACATGGCTAAGGGCGGGGCGCGGTGGCTCACACCTGTAATCCCAGCACTTTGGGAGGCCAAGGTGGGCAGATCACCTGAGGTCGGGAGTTCAAGACCAGCCTGGCCAACATGTTGAAACCCTGTCTCTACAAAAAATGCAAAAATTAGCTGGGCATGATGGCAGGTGCCTGTAATCCCAGCTACTTGGGAGCCTGGGGCGGAAGAATAGCTTGAACCTGGGAGGTGGAGGTTGCAGTGAGCTGAGATTGTGCCATTGCACTCCAGCCTGGGCGATAGAGCGAGACTCTGTCTCAAAAAAACAAAAACAACAAACAAACAAACAAACATGGCTAATAACAAGTGTTTGATGAGGATGTAAAGAAATTGAAACCTCATACAAAGCTGAATATGGTGCAGCCACTTTGGAGAACACTTAGGCAGTTGCTCAAAATATTACATGTAGGCCAGGCACAGTGGCTCATGCCTGTAATCCCAGCACTTTGGGAGGCTGAAGAGGGCGGATCACGAGGTCAGGAGATTGAGGCCAGTGTGGTCAACATGATGAAACCCCATCTCTACTAAAAATACAAAAAAAATTAGCCGGGCGTTGTGGTGCGCACCTACAGGCCCAGCTACTTTGGAGCTTGAGGCAGGAGAATCGCTTGAACTCGGGAGGTGGAGGCTGCAGTGAACCGAGATCACACCACTGCACTCCAGCCTGGGCAACAGAGCGAGACTCCATCCCAAAACAAAAACAAAAACAAAAACATTACACATAAAGTTACCATATAACCTAGCAATCTACTGTAGGTGTATACCTAGTGAATTGAAAACATGTGTTCATACAAAAAACTTGTACATGAATGTTGCATTAGTCTGTTCTCTCATTGCTATAGAGAACTACCTGAGGCCAGGTGCAGTGGCTTACACCTGTAACCCCAACACTTTGGGAGGCCAAGGCAGGTGGATCATGAGGTCAAGAGATCAAGACCATCCTGGCCAACATGGTGAAACCCCGTGTCTACTAAAAATACAAAAAAAAATCAGCCAGGCATGGTGGCGCGTGCCTGTAGTCCCAGCTACTTGGGAGGCTGAGGCAGGAGAATCACTTGAACCCAGGAGGCAGAGGTTGCAGTGAGCCGAGATCGCGTCACTGCATTACAGGCTGGTGATAGAGTGAGACTCCGTTGAAAAAAAAAAAACTACCTGAGACTGGGTAATTTATAAAGAAAAGAGGTTTAATTGGCTTACTGTTCCACAGGCTGGGGGAGGCCTCAGGAAACTTATCATCATGGCAGACGGCAAAGGGGAAGCAGGCACAATCTTCACATGGTGCAGCAGGAGAGACAGAGTGAGGGTGGAAGTGCTACACACTTTTAAACAACCAGATCTCGTGAAACTCACTATCACAGCAACAGCAAGAGGGAAGTCTGCCCTTATGATCCAATCACCTCCCACCCACTAGGCCCCTTCTCCAACATTGGGGATCACAATTTGACATGAGATTTGGGTGGGGACACAAATCCAAACCATATCAAATATTCACAACAGCATTATTCACAACAACCAAGAAGTGGAAGACACCCCAAGTGTCTATCAATGGATGAATAGACAAACAAACTCTAGTATACCTATTCAATGGAATATTATTCAGCCATAAAAAGGAATGAAATTCATGCCAAAACAAGGATGTATCTTAAAAATACTATGATAAGTGAAATAAGCCAGGCACAAAAGGCCATATATTGTAGGGTTCCAGCTATCTAAAATGTCCAGAATAGGCAATTTCATAGAGAAAGTAGATTAGCAGTAGCCAGGGGCTAGGAGGAGGGGTAAATGGGGAATGACTGCTAATGAGGTACATGTTACTTCCTGGGGTGATAAAAATGTCCTAAAATTAGGTAATGGCAATGGTTGCATTACTCTCAAATATCAAATATACTAAAAACCAGTTAATTGTACACTTTAAATGGGTTAATTTTATGATAGGTAAATTAGAGCCCAATAAAAGTTATACAACACACTGAGCTGTTGTTTTAGTTTTGCATAATTTACTTATCTAAATTATTTGCAATAAACTTGTATTACTCTTGCAATTTTTTAAAAATGAAGGTTTAAAAATATTTAATTATAATTTATACTTTTTTTCTGTGAAAAGGCTGCATAAACGCATTCCTTGTCACACCATCATTTCTTTTTCTCACATCAAATCAGCCCTAGCTATCCTAAAGAACTGTCTTCTTTCCGCTTTAGGTGGATGTTAGCACAGCATTCACGAGGAGAAACACCACCAGCTCTAGCTCCAAAGAACGCCAAGGAATATGATCTTGCAATACTATAGGGCTGCCAGATCTGCATTTGGTTTAGACAAGGAGGGCCCAGAGAAAAGGTTGCTGCCTTCTTTCATTGTCCTCTGTAGGCAAAGTCTAAATGGGGTATGACTAGGATGTCCAATATCTCCTTCTATTTTTTCTCTTCTGCCCTCTTTTTGGTTTTTTTTTTTTGGGAGACGAAGTCTCACTCTTGTCCCCCAGGCTGGAGTGTGATGGCGTGATCTTGGCTTACTGCAACCTTGGCCTCCCGGGTTCAAACCGTTCTCCTGCCTCAGCCTCCCGAGTAGCTGGGATTACAGGCGCCTGCCACCACGCCTGGCTAATTTTTGTATTTTTGGTAGAGACAGGGTTTCATCATATTGGCCAGGCTGGTCTCAAACTCCTGACCTCAGGTGATCCACCTGCCTCGGCCTCCCAAAGTGCTGGGATTACAGGCATGAGCCACTGAGCCCAGCCATCTTCTGGTCTCTTTAAGAGGAAAATGCAAAACAAAAAGTAGCAGCAGAAAACATACATATTACAGTACACTACTGTCATTTTTTATTACTTTTTTTTTTTTTTTTGAGATGGAGTCTTTGTTGCCCAGGCTGGAGTGCAGTGGCGCGATCTCGGCTCACTGCAACCTCCCCCTCCTGGGTTCAAGCGACTCCTCTGCCTCAGCCTCCTGACTAGTTAGGATTACAGGCATTAGCCACCACGCCTGGCTAGTTTTCGTATTTCTAGTAGAGACGTGGTTTCTCCATGTTGGTCTTCAAACCCCTGACCTCAGATATCTGCCCGCCTCGGCCTCCCAAAGCGCTAGGATCACAGGCGTGAGCCACCTCACTTGGCCGCCTTTGATTACTTTTTAAAATTTCTTCTTAGTTTTTTCCTTGTTCCAATATTTTCCCTAGATCGGCTGTACCAGCATCGAAACAGGGCTTGTTAGAAACTCAAATTACCAGCCGGCCCTCAGAGTCTCCATTAGTCATTCAGCGGGCGGGGCCCAGCCAGCAGCGCTTTAGCAAGCCCTCCAGGCCGTTCTGACTCTTCCCCGAGAAAAGGCTTCAGCTTTTCAAGTATAACGTACTATACAAGAGCTGAAACTACAGACTTGCTGAGTCACCCTTCCTTTCTCTTGGTCACCCGAACCTTCCATTCACCATTCTGCCTGGATTCCATTCTGCCTGGATTCTTCTCTCGGCATATTTCTCTCGATATTTTCTCTTCCATCTTGGAATCTGCTTCTTCCTGAATCAGCACCTCGAGTTTGCCGTCCTTTTCCATCTATCAACATGCCCTACTTAAGACACTGTCACAGCACTACCTGGGAGGAAAGATAGGAAGATACCATGAAAAGAAGATGTTTTTGAACATTTTTGGCACTTATTTTTGTGAAAATGAGTAGCATGTACACTCTACGTCTATAGAGCAGAGATTCACAAGCTTGAATGTGCAAAGGGGAGTTTCGTTTTTTAAATGGATGTTCCTAGGTTTCAGATTCTGGGATGTAGAGGCAATGTCTGGGGGGGAGTCTAGGAATTTTCATTTTGACAAGTACCCCAGGTCATTTGGAAATTGGTGGTCCTTGCCTACTTTGGGAAGCACTGCATCAAAGACGAGAATTGGGGTGTGGGGGGTAGGGCTCTCTCCTTTGCAAATTCTACATCCACTGAAAATCTATGCAAGAAAAAAACAAACACAGGACCTACATCTTCTCATGACATTTTTCACATCTCTAGTGATTTGGTGCTTAGGAGACCTTTAAATCAAGTTCTCAGGCTCTCAAGATAAACAAGTTATCAACACACAAAGAGTAAACCATTAATATAGGGGGAGTTGTGCTGTTAGGTGTGAAAATTATTCTTGAAATAATACTATCCTGACCAGCTATAGGAACAATCTTGAATAAGCTGATTACTTCTATACTTATATTCCCCTAGTATGTATTAACTGAGATACATAAAGTTTTATTCCTTCCAAAATTCATGGAGCAGTTAGTTGTTACCTTGAAGGAAGTTATTTTTCTCAAATTATTGTTCACAGTGGTTGTATGTATTAGTAGGGGAATTGATACACAGAATACTTTATTGCCTGAAATGACCATGATTATTCATATTGCCAAGATGCAAGATCACCCTACGAACAGATCAGCTTGCATCTTGGCAACATGCATAATGCAGTTAGTTCTCTTTTTTTTCTTTTCCTTCCTTCCTTCCTTCCTTCCTTCCTTCCTTCCTTCCTTCCTTCCTGTCTCTCTCCCCCCTCCACGCTCCCCCCTTTTTCTCTTTCTTTCTTTCTCTTTCTCTCTCTCTCTCTCCCCCACCCGCGCCCCACCCCCCTTCTTTCTTTCTTCCTTTTTTTTTTTTTTTTTTTTGAGACAGAGTCTTGCTCTGTTGCCCAGGCTGGAGTGCAGTGCCGTGATCTCAGCTCACTGCAACCTCCGCTTCCTGGGTTCAAGTGATTCTCCTGCCTCAGCCTCCTGAGTAGCTAGGATTACAGGCATGCACCACCATACCCGCCTAATTTTTACATTTTTTTTAGTAGAGACGGGGTTTCGCCACGTTAGCCAGACTGGTCTCAAACTCCTGACCTCAGGTGATCCACCCACCTTAGCCTCCCAAAGTGCTGGGATTACAGGCGTGAGCCACCTCAATAAGGCATTTCTAAAGGCATTTTTAATTTGGGGCGCCAGTGTCATCAGAGTAGCTTTACTTGTAAAGTGCTAGAACAAGTGACTACTTTTTTGTTTTGTTTTTTGAGATAGAGTCTTGCCCTGTCACCCAGGCTGGAGTGCAGTGGCGCAATCTTGGTTCACTGCAACCTCTGCCTCCCAGGTTCAAGTGATTCTCCTTCCTCAGCCTCCTGAGTAGCTGGGATTACAGGCACCCGCCACCATGCCCGGCTAATTTTTGTATTTTTAGTAGAAACAGGGTTTCACCATGTTGGCCAGGCTGGTCTCGAACTCCTGACCTTGGGTGATCCGTCTGCCTTGGCCTCCCAAAGTGCTGGAATTACAAGCATGAGCCACCGTGCCTGGCCAGTGACTACATCTTTTATCTCATAAAATAGAACAGCATTTCCCAAACTCGGCATTATTGATGTTTTGGTCTGAATAATTGTGTGTTGTTTTGTGCATTGTAAGATGTTTAGAAGCATCTTTGGCCTCTACAAACTGGATGCAATTAACATCTTCCCCTCAAGTTGTGACAACTAAATACTTCTAGACATTGCTAGTGATTTGGTGCTTAGGAGACCTTTAAATCAAGTGTCCCCGAGGGACAAAATCACCACAGGTTGGGAACCACTGAAATAGAAACATGATGTTAAGACAACATACAATTCATATAAGTAACTATATGAAAGATTTTAGTACCTGTGGCCAAGGTGTTTTTGCTTTTAAAACATTTTTATTTTTAGGCTGGGCGCAGTGGCTCAGGCCTGTAATCCCAGCTCTTTGGGAGGCCAAGGCAGGTGGGTTGCCTGAACTCAGGAATTTGAGGCCAGCCTGGCCAACATGGTGAAATCCTGTCTCTACCAAAAATACAAAAATTAGTCGGGCATGATGGCATGCACCTGTAATCCCAGCTACTCGGGAGGCTGAGGCAGGAGAACCACTTGAACCCAGGAGGTAGAGATTGCAATGAGCTGAGATCTTGCCACTGCACTCCAGCCTGGGCGACAGAATGATACTCCATCTCAAAAAAATAAATAAATAAAATAAAATAAAAATAAAATTTTTATTTTTTAGATGCTGGGTTTTACTCTGTTGTCCACGCTGGAGTGTAGTGACATGATATTGCATCCTCGAACTACTGGGCTCAACTAATGCTCTCATTTCAGCCTCCCGAGTAGCTGGGATTTCAAGCACATACCACTGTGTTTACTTTTACATTGAGTAAAGTGTGTAGCTTCTAAGAGTGTTCAATAACAAACAACAGTATTTCGTGAAATCTGAAATAACTATTCTGAACATATTGTACCTCTACAAAACATGAAGTCCTGTTTCTAAGCATAATATTACACGCAAGAAAAGGTGGACATAGGAAAATATAAGCGGAAAAGGATGTTATCTCAGCTGATGACCAAAATGTAAGAATTCAGAGACAGTATGGACCAATAGTAATAATAATATTAAAACCGTACTGATATGTTAATACAGTAGGCAATACTTAGTGACAAAATAGTTGTGCCAGGCATGCTATTGCTTATGAGGATCCAGAGATGGAAAAACAAAACGACTGCTCTTTTTCTTTGAAAAGCTTAGAGTTTAGTGGTGGTTCATGGACACATAGACAATCATTGATTGAATTACAATAAAAAAGACTGTACTGGAAAAATTATGATAGAAATGTCTACTCCTGACTTGTAGTAAAATGATGGAAAAACAAATTTAAGAAACTTTAAGAGCCTTAGCTATGTGAACAGTGTAGTTCACACTTTGGTCAGGTTTCTGTCAACCTGAAACAAAGAGGCAGTTCATATAATTCAGATGAAGATTCCTCTCTTTTGCTACAAATAAGCATTAGCTTATTGGGTGACTCAAGTTCAAGCAGTTGAATTATTTTGCTAAAATGATCAGGATAAATAGTTTAATTATTCACTTTGTGGAAACTTCAAAGTGCTGTGGTCTAATGAATTGAACAAGCAAATGTCAGCTTGAAAGATTTGTTATTGAAATATATTATTTTGCATATTGTTGTATTTGCTTTATGTTAATATATTTAATATTGGCATATATTAAAGTATACCAAGGTTTTTAAATTTATAAACCATTTATAAACATATTCTGCTCCTCCAGTGTGTTTTCTGGGAACCCTTTATTTCTTCAATGATGCAATGACTGCAAGTTACTGCATAGCTCTGTACTAGAAAAAAGGGTTTAAAAAATGAGTATTTAAAATTCACATAAACATAGCTTCAGTCAAGTAGGAAATACACAAATTTGAATGACTGAGACCTTGGCATTGATCTGGGCAGGAAGTGAGCTTTAGGACACAGCTTTGCCTTAAATTTATTGGTCTTTCTGGACTTGCTGACCTGAACAGACAAACGCAGAATGTCAGAACACCAATGAAATGGGATTGGGATGATATAGGAAGTGAAAGCGTGACAGCTTCATATATTCACCAAATATTTCTGGCTCATCTGCTTCCTACCCGGCATCTGATAGAATACCATCTCTTGACTCCCTTATAGTTGGATAGGGTCATGTGACTCTTTTTGGCCAATGAATTTAAGCAGATGTGATGCATATCTACTTGTCTAAAGCATTTAATTGACTGAGATATTCCTGAGTTCTCTTGTGGTACAGTGATCAGCAACACTTGAGATATGGCATCAGCATGAATCTACTGAGTGACTACTACGAACAGGGCCCTCTGTTGAACTGTGATGGATGTGTACCATTTGCAGTTGTTTTTTGTTTTTTGAGACAGTCTCACTCTGTTGCTTAGGCTGGAATGCAGTGGCACAATCTTGGCTCACTGCAGCCTCTGCCTCCCGGGTTCTCGTGCCTCAACCTCCTGAGCAGCTGTAATTACAGGCATGCGCCACCACACCCAGCAAATTTTTTTGTATTTTTAGTAGAGACAGGATTTGCCATATTGGCCAGGCTGGTCTCGAACTCCTGACCTCAAGTGATCTGCCAGCCTTGGCTTCCCAAAGTGTTGGAATTACAGGCATGAGCCCCTTCACCTGGCCCCTTTGTAGTTTTAAACCAGGGATTGGCAAACACTTTTTTTGTAAAAGAAGAGATAGTATTCTAGGTTTTGCACACCCTACTGTCTGTTGCACACCCAAGTACTCAACTCTGCTGTGCTATGGCAGAGAGGCAGTCATAGAATGGATGTGCATAGATGGATTGGATGTCTCCCAATAAAACTTTAGACATTGGTCAATTCCGAGGAACAAAACAGTGATTTCTGAAACTTTAATGTACACACAAATCTCCTGAAGATCTTGTTAAAATGTAGATTCAGTTAAGTCTGCTATGCAGTCCAAGATAGTAGTGATAGTGGTAGTGAGAGAGGTTGGGCTGAATAAACTTTGAGTTGCAAGGAGCTAAAGGATTATCATCTCCGTTTCTAGCCTCTAGGCCTGGCATAATTGCTCAGCGTAGTGCTAAGGATGGTTTAGGTGACTAAATTTTGAAACTATGACTCCCCATCTAATGCAGCAAAAGCCAAAGTCCTTACCGTGGTCTTTCAGGCCCTACAAGACCAGCCCCCTTTAATATGTTTGACCTCATCTCCTACTCTCTGCTCTTGCCACTATGGTTTCCGTGCTGTTCCTTGAACCCAAAAAGCACACTCCGTCTCAGATCTTAGTACTTGGTGTTTCCTCTACCTGGAAAATTCCTCCTCCAAGGTAGCTGCTTAGCCTTCTTCCTCACTTCCTTCAGTACTAGCTCAAATGTCAGTAAGGCTTTCCCTGACCACCGTTTTTTCTTTTCTCTACCATTTCACTATCTGACATGTATTTACTTGTCTTCCCCTTACTTAGATTGTAAGCTCCATGTAAATATGTTTTGTTCATAATCCCTAGCACTTAAGAGTTCCCAGCACACAGTAAGGTGCTTAATAAATATTTGAATGAATATATAACAGACTTTGCAGCTAACCAGGATATCTTGAGGTCGGAGGCTGCTGTTGTTTCTCCAGGCTCCCTCAGGATGCACTGTTGCCAGTCAGCGTTACTCATTTTATTCCCTAGGGAACAGTGGGTTTGGTAGAACTCTCTTCTAAATCTCTTTTTCATAGAATTTAAATTATAAATTGGTCATTTACTGTTGTCACACAATATTGCGTTGCTGAATTTTCCACTGATTATATTCATTTTATTTCCTCCCAGAACTTGGTTTCTTGTTTTTCTGCTCACTGTCCACACCCACTCCACCCCAAGGCTGGAATAATTCTCTTGGAGCAAAAAAATCATCTTTTTCTTTGTATTTCATTGAACGTTCTCTTTACAGTGTTAGGTAAACCTAAAAAAAAAGGAAACAAAAGTCTAATAATTCGTAATACTCAGGCCTACTGGATGTATAACATCATAGGGTAGCTGAAGACTCTTTGTGAGGCCAGAGCTTTAGGATTTAAAAAGCCACCAACCATGACCGTGTCCGACACGTTCTACAGAGAACTCCTAGGTTACTGGGTGATTGTTTGGTGGGGAAGCGGCGAGTTGTCTTTTTTTCAAAAGACGTTTTGGGGTATGGAGTTTGCTCGCTCTGCATACAGAAGGAATTCTAGAAGCTGGGATCGCACCACCCACCCCACGCACCCCTTACTTGCAGAAACCTTTGCCCCCCAACCCCCACCCCCACCCCAAATAAGGGCTCTTCAAGGGGCAGTTGCCAGCTCCAGAGCCAGCTGCTTGACACCTATTGTCCCCGTTTGGGCGTCAAACGATTTCGCCTGAAGGACCCTAGCGTCGATTGCTCTCAAAACTCAAGGGGCCTTTCCTTCGGCCTTGCCGGGGCCATCCCCACCTGCGTCCAGGAGGCGCCCCACAGCGCCGGGGCCGGGGGACGGCGGAGAAGCTAGCGGGCGGCCTCTTCCGGGCAGGCGTTCGCGCCGGGCAGCCCGAGCGGCCGCGAAGGCCCCCGCTCTCCGCTTCTCCCGCCCCTCGCGACCCAGAGGGCTGCTGGCTGGCTAAGTCCCTCCCGCTCCCGGCTCTCGCCTCACTAGGAGCGGCTCTCGGTGCAGCGGGACAGGGCGAAGCGGCCTGCGCCCACGGAGCGCGCGACACTGCCCGGAAGGGACCACCACCCTTGCCCCCTCAGCTGCCCACTCGTGATTTCCAGCGGCCTCCGCGCGCGCACGGTGAGCGCCACCCGGGACCGAGCCGCTGCAGGGGAAGAGGGCCGCTGCGCCCGGGTGTCCTTTATCTCCGGACCCGCTGGAGCTTCCGAGGGGCTTGCCCCCAAGTCCCCCCACCCCACCCCGGTCATTTCCCATGCCCTTCTCTGCCCCCAAGCCCCGACCTCTCTCTTTCCTCCCTTCTCCGGAAGCCGGCAAAAGCCGGCCCTCCCCGGTAGGGACCGTTGCAGTGGCCGTTGGCGGCCGGCGCGGCGATGCCCCGCCTCCGGCGCGAGCCTCGGAGCCCCCGGGCTGGTAGGCCGAGCCGGCGGCTCCGCGGGGGAGGGGCGGGTCGGGGGGCGGTGCGAGGCCCAGCCGGGCGCCCCGCTGGCGGGTCGCGCGCGCGCCCGCGCACTCTTCCTGCCCTCGAGGCGCGCCGCGCCCCCTCCCCCACCCGCTCGCGTAGGCTACCGCTCGCTGCGCGTTTTGTCCCGCGTCTCGCCCCGTCCGTCTCCTGACTGGCCGCTCTTGTCCTTCCTCCCGCTTTTTCTTCTCTCTCCTTGCGGTCTGAAGATGCCCTCGGCCACCAGCCACAGCGGGAGCGGCAGCAAGTCGTCCGGACCGCCACCGCCGTCGGGTTCCTCCGGGAGTGAGGCGGCCGCGGGAGCCGGGGCCGCCGCGCCGGCTTCTCAGCACCCCGCAACCGGCACCGGCGCTGTCCAGACCGAGGCCATGAAGCAGATTCTCGGGGTGATCGACAAGAAACTTCGGAACCTGGAGAAGAAAAAGGTGCCAGGAGTTGGCGGGGAAGGGAGGGGTGGCTGCGGCCGGGCTCTGCGGCCCCTCCGACCCTGGTCGCTGGAGCCTTCGCTTCTTTTCGTCTCGGGAGCGTTACTAGGTCCCCTCCTCCCACCCCCTGGCCCACACGCCCCGTCTCCACGTTCAGCGGGAGCTTCGTGCCCAGAAAACGGGCTCTTGGAAGAGGCACTTGTCACCTGACTCGGACGCGGCACTGTACCCCAGGCCTCTTTATTACTCTTCCGCTGTGGGTCCGGCTTTTTGGCCTTTAGGAGTGGGACATGTGAGGGTGGGGGCCTGTCGTCAGGACTTCACTGTATGGTGCCCTTCTTTCCGTCTCTGAGGCCCGATTTCTCTGACGAGGGCCCAAAATGAAGAGGTCCCTGCGCGGGGGGCTCCGGGTTCAACCGACCGCCTCGTGGAGTTGGGGCGGCCTGCGTCCTGCAGCCTTGGGGTCTGTCCGCTCGGTTACCATGCACTCGAGACCTGTCGAGCGTCCCCTCTTCTTCCGTAGGAGAGAAGTGTGTTTAGAATCTTAAGGTAGAACTGCCTTTCCGGCAGGCCCATTTTGAATGGGTCTTCGATTTGCTACCCCCGCGCCCATGCGATGGGCTCCCCTGCGTTTCCCTCTTTGTTTCAATTGTTTAGGTGTCCCCCCGAGCCTCAGGCTCAGCTCAATCGCGAGATGATTTTCTGCAGCGACTTTTTGTTCCTAGGGGACTGTGAAGGGGCGGGGGACTGCCACGATTTAGATTCGTTGGGGGCTGGGTCCTGGGGAGACTGGAGAGGATGGCTGGGACTCGGGGCACATGGAGAGAGCGTCTAACATGGCGGCGGCTGCGGGGAGAGGGAAGCGCTTTACTGGAGCTGCATTGTGAGCACAAAGCGAAAGCAGAGGGGGAGGGCAGAGACCAGGCAGCCGCCCCGACTGGCCTCCTTAGGCCCCCCTCTAAAAAAAAAAAAAATCGAGCCACACCCACGATTTTTTGGATTCAATATTTAGTCCTTGTAGATCAAACTACTGAGGTATATCTTCATCTGCAAGTCAGCCTTTTGTTTTATGCTTTCATCGCAGGACAGTGTAAACTCTTGTTTAGAGGGGCGTGTGTATGTATGTAGAGAAAAGGTCTGGGCAGAGTGAATAATTAAAATGAGTAAGATCAGAGGTGGAAGGGGAGAAACAAATTAGTCGTTTGTAAAAACGAGGTAATTACGTCTGTGACTATCATGTTAACTTGAATTTTACCTTATAAAGTAAAATGAAGCCTTGATAACTTCTACTTGTCTGCCTCTAGGAAAACATATTTATAACATCTTGAATTTCCAGGAAATCATTTTGCAGTGTTTATGTGGCCAGACACCTAATAGTGTTACTTGAGGTGCTGATATAGTAACTGGCTAAAACTTGGGCTGTGGGAAATAAGTTGAAGAAAACTGGTGATGTTTAGGTCTTATTAATTTTACTTATATATTTTACATTTTGGGAGAGTTTTAAAACATTTAGATTTGATACTTCCCTGTTTCATCTTCGGTATTGAAGGTTGGAAGTTTTACTTGAATTTCATGGACTTGGGATTTCTTTTTTTTCCCAATCCTTTATTTTGATAAATGTATGTTTTATTATAGGTAATTGGAATAGTAAATGTAGTTACATCAAGAAAGTAACAAAAGTATTTTAAGTGTAAGGTAGCTACATTCAAATGTTGAATGGAATAAGCATGCCCAAGGCCAGTATCTTCTGAGTCTGACACATGATTTAGTTTACCCTGTTGGGTATCTTCTTAAATTTTTTTTTTTTTGAGACGGAGTTTCGATCTTTTTGCCCAGGCTGGAGTACAATGGCGCGATCTCAGCTCACTGCAACCTCCACCTCCCGGGTTCAAGCGATTCTCCTCCCTCAGCCTCCCAAGTAGCTGGGAGTACAGGTGCCTGCCACCACGCCCAGCTAATTTTTTGTATTTTTAGTAGAGACAGGGTTTCACCCTGTTGGCCAGGATTGTCTCGATCTCTTGACCTCCTGATCCGCCCGCCTTGGTCTTCCAAAGTGCTGTTACAGGAGTGAGCCCCTGTGCCCGGCCTCTTTTTAAAATTTTAATGCAGTAAGCAAGCCTGCTGATCTGGCTGCTACTTGAGTTTTTGATTCTTTAGAATTTCTTGGAAATGTTTTTTTCTAGGACAGTAATTGAACATAAAATATTAATGATTGTGAACATTAATAATGTGTTAATACTAATTATGAACATTAATGATTAGTGATATAAAGTGTAGAGACATTAATGACTGAAAGATAACTCCTCAGAGAAGTTAATATAAAGGTAGGTGCTGATTGGCAGCCAATTTAGTTGTGAGGTGGCTGTTAGAATCTAGTGTTCAAGTACTTCTGAAAAAAAAATATAAATCTAGTTTATAAGCCCCTCCTGAGGACTTGAACCATGACTGGTCATTAAATGTGTATAGGTGTATGTGAATTACTATACTCTGTCATACCCTACCCTCAAGTGATTTTGTTATTTTATTTTTATTTTTTGAGATGAATCTCTGTTGCCCAGGCTGGAGTGCCCAGGCTGGAGTGCGGTAGGATGATCTTGGCTTCCTGCAACCTCCACCTCCCGGGTTCAAGTGATCCTCCCGCTTCAGCCTCCTAAGTAGCTGTGATTACAAGTGTGCGCCACCACCCCAGGCAATTTTTTTTTCTTTGAGAAGTCTCGCTCTTGTCCGCCAGGCTGGAGTGCGACGATGTGATCTCGGTTCACTGCAACCTCCGCCTCCTGGGTTCAAGCGATTCTCCTGCCTCGGCCCCCCGCCCAGAGTAGCTGGGGTTACAGGCACCTGCCACCACGCCCAACTAATTTTTGTATTTTTAGTAGAGACAGGTTTTACCTTGTTGGTCAGGTTGGTCTAGAACTCCTGACCTCAGGTGATCCAGCCGCCTCGGCCTCCCAGAGTGCTGGGATTACAGGTGTGAGCCACCATGCCGGGCCTCCCCTAAAGTCATAAAGGAGAAAATAATGTAATTATTACATAGGTTATTAACTAGGCTAATACATACTGAAAGATTGCCGTGTTAATAATGGAGATTCAACAAACTGCACAAAGTAACTTTTTTTTCTGTCTTCTCAGTGTTTTAAGTGGTAGATAGCAGCAAAAAGGTCAAGTTACAGTTAAGTCTTGAGACTTTGATAAGCCACAGACTGAACTCTACCTACATGTTAAGTAGTTAAGTTGGCAGTATTGATGTTGACTTAATTGCTATTAAAACTATATCTTTTGCCCTTTGAAAAACCCAGGGCATTTGGATTTGCCCTAAATTTAAGCACATCTGGTTTTTAGTTTAAATCCTTTTTATATTTAGATGATTTACTTGTGAGAAGACTTAACTGTTTTTAAGTATAAGTGAGCATTTCTAATGCACTAAAATAGGATTGCTTTACAAATCAGTTTTGAATTCCTCTTTAGAAACCCTTGTGGAGTAAAGTGAGGTACTATTTACAATTAGATTTGTTTTGACTTCAGTCCATTTAGCAACTTACATTTGAGCTTTATTTCAATCTTGACCTATTCTTATCGGAGCCTTCTGGACCAAAATGCTTTTTTTATGGATTTTAAAATCAAATATCCTGGCAAAAATGACTATGGATATGTAGTATTGCTTAAATTAAAACAGAGAATTGAAATAATTTTATTGTACTTTAAAAAACAAAGTTGTTTATTTCCTAATAATTTGAGCCATTAAAGAAAAAGCTAAGCATCTGCTCATTGAGAATGCATGCTCTTAATGTTGATGAAATATGATCGTGTTATGTAATGCAACTAAAAGGCTTGGTGGGTTTTTAAATTCAGGCTTATAAAGAGTACATGAATGTTTAGCAAAGAGAAGAAATACAGCTGTGATAATCAAGTGTAAAATCCATTTGCAAATCTTACAGGTAATATTGAATTGAATGATTAACTGCCTAGTTTTCTTTATCAGTTCATTGGTGCTGAACTGGGCCCTAGGCTATGCAAGATATTTCAAAACCAAGTCTTAATTTTAACTGAAGAGAGACCTCATTTGATATTATTAGATGTAATCAGTTGTGATATAGAATAAAGGATGTTTTAATAGATGACATTTAAAATTGTTATATTCTTTGTGAATATAATAGGTTTAGACTCTAGTGACTTTGGTAGGTGAAAGATTAACTAATGATCACTTGCGTAAAATGCAAAAATAGCCTGACAGCTTTTTAACCACTAAGTGACCAAAACTGATAGCCAGAAGTGTAGTGTTTTTAATACTTTTTCCTGAAGGCTTTCTGCACTTCATCTTTGCAGTTAGTAGTATTCTTTAAAAAGAATGCTGTTGTTGTGAGGGTAACATTTCTTTCTAGAACGTTGCAGTGTGTCTGTGCTTAGAATTTTCATTGCAGCTGTTGTGCAGAACTTATGTGTTCAGTGTTTTAAAATAAAAACATTCTTAACTATTTTATAAGTAAAATCTTTCCTTGAGGCTATTACCTGAAGCCTTCTTTGACATTTAAGATCTCTTGATGTGTTTGCTTTTCCATGGGTTGCAAGAACTATTCTTCTGCAATGCAGAGGGCAAGATTATTTTGCATTCACCTTGTCATAGAAAAAAGCTGTAATGCTTAATTTGTTTCCCTTTGCTTGACTGTGTGTGTTTGTATGTGTAGCACTGGGAAGTATTTAAAGCTGTGAATTCCCCCAAGTGATAATGGGTACCTTTTTCTAGGGTGAGAGTCGAAGCCTAAGTATTACATTGAGAATGTATTGTTTTAACGTGGCCAAATTAGTGTACTCTAGGATACTACCCATGTGGCAGATATTTGAGAATGCATTTTGTGTGACTTACAGATTAAGCATACAATTTGCCAAAATTTTATGTAATTAATTTCCTAGTTTACATTTAGGGCTAGATGAAGACTAGTACTGTTTCATCTTTTAGAAAAACTAACACTTTTCCTTTAGTAAAAGTGTTAATTTTTGCAATACTTTTGCAAAAGGTTAAACTTATAGCAATTTTGTCATAGCTATAATCTTACACTGTTATAAAATTTAGAGGATTTTTAATTTTTATTTATTATCATTATTTGAGACAGTTTTGCTCTCGTTGCCCAGGCTGGAGTGTAATGGCATGACCTCGGCTCACTACAACCTCCCCCTCCCAGGTTCAAGCTATTCTCCTGCCTTAGCCTCCTGAGTAGCTGGGATTACAGGCGCCCGCCACCACGCCCGGCTAATTTTTTATATTTTTAGTAGAGATGGGATTTCACCATGTTGGCCAGGCTGGTCTCAAAACGCCTGACCTGAAGTGATCCACCCACTTCAGCCTCCAAAGTGTTGGGATTATAGGCATGAGCCACCATGTCCGGCCTAAGAGTTTTTTTTTAGAGCTTAAACCACCTTAGAATTTAGTCCAGTTCATTTTATAGAAGACAAAATTGAGATGTTTATATGGAATGACTTAGGTTGGAATGGGTGATTTCCAAAATTCTCGCAGTTTTTTTTGAAACAGAATCTTGCTCTGTCGCCCAGGACTGGAGTGCAGTGGTGCAATCTCAGCTCACTGCAACCTCTGCCTCCTGGGTTCAAGTGATTCTCATGCCTCAGCCTCCCGAGTAGCTGGGATTACAGGTGCATGCCACCACGCCCAGCTAATTTTTGTATTTTTAGTAGAGACGGGGTTTTGCCATGTTGACCAGGCTGGTCTCAAACTCCTGACCTCAAGTGATCTGCACGCCTTGGCCTCCCAAAGTGCTGGGATTACAGGCGTGAGCCACCACACCCGGCCTCTTAAATAATGTTTTATGGGAGTAATTAGAATTTGTAATGTTCCACGGCCTAAGTGTAGTTTTCATGTTTAATTATGTAGAATCAAGTAAAGCCTTTTGCTTCAAATCCTTAGAGTTTTTCTGTTTTAAAAAACTGAATGCAAAAGAAAAATGCTTTCCATTTCCTTATTATTAGACTTTTATTAATGTCTCATTGTTGAACTTTGTGTTTGCATTGTCCGGGTAATGGGGTTCTGAGAATATCGGTAAGGTAAAATCCCAGTGTGTCAGGTATCATTGGGACATCCATATTGTAATGAAATAAACTTTTATAAAGTTAAAACTCTGAAGTTTTTCTTTATGTTTAGCTTCCTATGTACATTTGTCAGACTCTACTCCAGCTTGGTATGTTGTAGACCGGAAAAATCTGGAAAAAGCATTACCAGTAGAGAGAAATAAGAAGTGTGACAACCTTTTCATCCAAATTACTGTATTCCAAGCTTCTGGGTATTTTTTGGTAGTTGGTTCCTTTTTCTGGGGGAAATGAATGGTGTGTGTGTATACAGTATAGAAGAGTGAGAGGAGTAGCAGAAGAGAAATTCATCCAAAGTTGGAACTGTAAATTGCTTTGTTTTAGCTCATTTATTTCTTTCTTTCACTAGCTCTACTACAGTGCTTTTGTTAGATAGACTATGAGTACAAAAACGTGGGTGAAAGATAATTTACTGAGTAGAGTTCAAAATTCAAACTTCCTGAGGAAAGGGGAGGGTGTGCTTCTTGACCATGCTCAGCTAAAGTAGTTTGTTTCCTTTAACTTCCCCTGTTACCTATTGTCTGTACACTTCTTGACATTGTTTTTTTTTTTTTTTTGAGACGGAGTCTTGCTGTGTCGCCCAGGCTGGAGTGCAATGGTGTGGTCTTGGCTCACTGCAACCTCCGCCTCCTGGGTTCAAGTGATTCTCTTGCCTCAGCCTCCTGAGTAGCTGGGACTACAGGTGCATGCCACCACACCTGGCTAATTTTTTGTATTTTTAGTAGAGACGGGGTTTCGCCATGTTGGCCATGCTGGTCTTGAACTCCTGACCTTGTGATCTGCCTGCCTCGGCGTCCAAAACTTCTTGACATTTTTATATTGCCTTGTGTTGTTAACCTTACATGTTTTTCTAAATTGGTAATAAGCTCTTTGTGGGCAGAGACTATTAACATTACTTTGCTGCGCTTTCTCACACATGGTATATGCTGAATAAGTACTTGGTAGTTTGGCCAAATCATTACATAGAAATATCTGTAGCTTCATTAACAACCCTGTTAAAATGGATTAATCCATGGGGTTAGGGAGGAAATGCTTTTTGCACAGAACTATTTACTTGCAGTGTTTTTTTATTGAAATTGATTTTTTTCCTGAAGGGTTTTTTACTTTTTACAGGTGTGTAGAGTTGATGAGTAGGCAAGTAGAAGAATACTTTTTTTTTTTTTTTTTTTTTAAGCTGGGTAGCAGGCTGGGCATGGTGGCTCACGCCTGTAATCTCAGCACTTTGGGAGGCTGAGGCAGGTGGATCACCTGAGGTCAGGAGTTCGAGACCAGCCTGGCCAACCTGTGAAACCCCGCCTCTATTAAAAATATGAAAAATTAGCTGGGCATGGTGGCATGCAGCTGTAGTTCCAGCTACTTGGGAGGCCGAGACAGGAGAATTGCTTGAACCTGGGAGGCAGACGTTGCAGTGAGCCGAGATCGCGCCACTGTTCTTTAGCCTGGGCAACAGAGTGATACTCCATCTCAAAAAAAAAAAAAAAAAAAAAAAGCTGGGTAGCATTAGCAAGATATGTGAATGGTCTTAAGAGAACACAGATAATTCTTATTATTAGAACCATTGTACATTATTGGAAATTTCATTGCATTCTCCTCAATACTGTTCTAAAAATATTTTAATTTTAATTTTTTAGAGACAGGGTCTCACTATCACCCAGGCTGGAGTTCAGCAGGGCAATCATAGCTCATTCCAACCTTGAACTCTTAGCCTTAAGCGATCCTCTTGTCTCAGCCTCCCAAAGTGTTGGGATTACAGGGTTGACCCACTGTGCCTGGCCCCCCTCAATACTGTTATCTAAACATAGAAATAACTGAAATATATTTTAGTCATTAAAAAACCCTTTGGGCTTACACTTTGAGTTACATTGAACTTCTTTTTACATTGTGGACAGGAAAGATAGTAAGCAAAAGTTTCCTCAATTTTTAAAAGGACGACGGTAGAAAGAACACATTGCAATCTATAGATGATCCATGGCAGCTATCTTCAAATGCTGAAAGCTTGCTCATGTAGCAGGAGTCTGTGCTGTTTTAGAAAACGAAAAAGTATTAAAACAGTGATGGTGGGGATGTAATTTTTTTACATTTAACTCCCAAGGAATGTATTAATATAAATAAGTTGTACAGAATTATGCTAAGGAATAGCTTGGTTAAAGCAACTAATATTTTGAAAGATGCCCTTTAAGATTATTTATGGTAATTTGCTTTTCAAATCTAGAAGCTTTAGACTTTTTAAGAATATAGTTCAAAGTAGGTGATGCTGGAACTTGTTAACATTTCTTTTTCCTACTAGAGTCAGCTGCTTCAATTCACTCAGACTTACCTGCATAATTATAACCTTGGACAAGGAATAAAGGTTTTTACAGGATTGGCTTTTATCTTTTTTAAAAAATTGGACAAACGGCTTGTGAAACTAAACTCCTGGATACTTAACCTGCTTGAAAAATTATCTTACAATGGAACCTTAGGTAACATCCTTTTTTTTTTTTTTTTTTTTTTTGAGATGGAGTTTTGCTTTTGTTGCCCAGGCTGGAGTACAATGGCGCAATCTCAGCTCACTGCAACCTCTGCCTCCCAGGTTCAAGTGATTCTCCTGCCTAAGCCTCCCAAGTAGCTGGTATTATAGGCAACCACCACCGCACCCGGCTAATTTTCTGTATTTTTAGTAGAGACCAGGTTTCATCATGTTGCCCAGGCTGGTCTCAAACTCCTGACCTCAGGAGATTCGTCCACTTTGGCCTCCCAAAGTGTTGAGATTACAGGCATGAGCCACTGCACCTGGCCTAGGTTAGCATTCTTATGCCATTCTTAGCGTTCAGAAATCCAGCATTCCTGACAGGTGTTCATTCAGCCTCTGCTTTAACCAGTCTTCCAGGGCCTGGTAGAGTGCTCGTTTCTCAATGAAAATTTGTTTCATTGGTGTGCCACTCTTTAAGTTCTTGGTGGTAGAAGTATATCCTTACCGGCCGGGCACAATGGCTCATGCCTGTAATCCTAACACTTTTGGGAGGCTGAGGCGGGCAGATCACCTGATGTCAGGAGTTGGAGATCAGCCTGGCCAACATGGTGAAACCCCGTCTCTACTAAAAATACAAAAATTAGCCGTGCGTAGTGGCTTATGCCTGTAATCCCAGTTACCTGGGAGTCTGAGGCAGGAGAATCGCTGGAACCTGGGAGGCAGAGGCTGCATGAGCCAAGATCGCACCACTACACTCCAGCATGGGTGACACAGCGAGAGTCTGTCTCAAAAAAAAAAAAAAAAAAGTATATCCTTACCACCACTGTTTAATAGTCTTTGTTTTCTGGAACAGCATAGACTCCCGCTACATGAGCATGCTTTCAACATTTGAAGAAAGCTGCCATGGATCAGCTATGGATTGTAGTGTATGTTCTTTCTACCCTGCTTTTAAAAATTGAGGAAACTTTTGCTTACTATCTTTTTTGTCTTCTGGGGATTTCACTAGCTAACAATACTCAGTTGAATTTGTGGAGGGCAAATAGGAGACAGTCAGCTGCCTACCATTGTGGGCAAAGTCAAAACTCGTAATTGTCTAAGTGAAGAACAGAGAATGTGGGGATTGGGGACTTGAAATAATACCTGGAAAAACTGGTAAAGATTGGACCGGGCGCGGTGGCTCACGCCTGTAATCCCAGCACTTTGGGAGGCCGAGGCGGGCGGATCACGAGGTCAGGAGATCAAGACCATCTTGGCTAACACAGTGAAACCCCGTCTCTACTAAAAATAAAAAAAATTAGCCGGGCGTGGTGGTGGGCGCCTGTAGTCCCAGCTACTCGGGAGGCTGAGGCAGGAGAATGGCGTGAACCTAGGAGGCAGAGCTTGCAGTGAGCTGAGATCACGCCACTGCACTCCAGCCTGGGCGACAGAGCAAAACTCCGTCTCAAAAAAAAAAAAAAAAAAGGAAAACTGCTAAAGATTATGGAAAGTTGAGAGGAAAAGAAATATTTTGTTTTTGCAAAAGTTGGTACAGTACTCTAGAAGTGATTTATTTGGCCTGGATACATAAAGTATAGCTAGGTGCTCTTAACTACTTTGGTTATTTTAGGCTTCATTTTTAAGTATTCCCTCTCAGTTTAGACATCTCCTTATTTGAGAATAGGAGTTACGAAGTTTTCCTGGAAAGCCAAGTTAGTTTTTTTCAGATGTTTCCTCCTAATCTTCCTTCTGACTATTTAAAATTGTCTAGTTGAAGAATTTTTAGGGTTTTTTGGAGTTTATCATCTCTCTTTGCTATTTATTTTTAATTGCATAATTAAAAATTTCTTCTTAAATTTTTTATTTGTGGAATTTGTTGGCTATAACAATAAAGAAGCAAAGCCCAGGAGGACATCTATCATGGATATCCCTCTTCTGGCACCCTAATGGCACCTACTGAACTTAATTTAAAAAATCCATTTCAAGAAAGTAACTTTGGTGGTGATGAAAAACTTCTTGGGAAGAATGGAAGATCTAGATGTATTGCAATTCAGCACAACATAATAATCTGATTGGAGAAAGGAAGAAAACAGCAGCAGCAGAGGCAGAGCTGGAATGTAGCAACAGCTGGAATCCAGAATGACATTCTAAGGGGGAGGGTTGTTAAGGCACAAATGATTTTTCTGGGATTTAAGACCTTACTTAGGTAAGTTATTTAACTGTGTCTTTCAATTTACAGTTAGGTGAAATATGATTGATAGTAATGCCTCCCTGATAGGTTTAGCTACCTTTTAAATTTGAATGTCTGTTACATAGTGAATACTGTCAACTATTAAAAGCAGTAAAGAAACAGGATATAGAGCGAGACTGGATAGCACTTGTTGGGATAATTATTTCCCAGTACCACATGACTCTGACATCTACTGGGTGTGGTCACACCTCTCCCATGATTCCCCCTTAAAGACTCTGGGTAATCTGGGAAATGGCCTGATTTTTATCTTGCTCATATGTGTGCTGTAAATGGATTTTTAATACACTTAGGATACTCAGCTGAAAAGGAACTCTAAATTGAATTTCAAGTTAGAAAGGATCTAAGAGGGCAGGTGTGTGTTATCAACATTGTAACGTAGTAGGCTTTCTGATGAAGATAGTTTTTTTTTGAGATGGAGTTTCGCCCTTGTTGCCCAGGCTGGAGTGCAATGGTGTGATCTCAGCTCACCGCTGCCTCACCCTCCCTAGTAGCTGTGTTTACAGGCATGTGCCACCATGCCTGGCTAATTTTGTATTTTTAGTAGAGACGGGGTTTCTCCATGTTGGTCAGGCTGGTCTTGAACTCCTGACCTCAGGTGATCCACCTGTCTCGGCCTCCCAGAGTGCTGGGATTACAGGTGTGAGCCACCGCGCCTGGCCTGAAGATACATTTTTATGCTAGGAAAATGGTTTCATTCTCTAGGAAAAATACTTAATATCTTATTTTATTTGTTTCATGAGTAGCTGACCAATTTATTGTTACCTCTTCTGCTGCTGTTAGCCATGTTCCAGCCCAGGAAAGAATAAAGCTGTGTCTGTCTGGAGCCCTTTATTACTCCTATCTTACCATTCTGTTCTTAGTATAATGTTGGATCTGTCAATGTGACAAGCTATTCCTTGTATATTCGCTTAGTTCATGCTGTAAATTTTAACACCAGTGGACAAATTTTCTAGTTGGACTTTAATGTAAACCATTTGAATAGGAAGTGACAATAGGAATGAAGCCACTTAAGATGGCATCATTTTTCTCTTGAGTAGTCTGTGCTTTCAAAGATTAGGCAAATTGTATTTGGAGAAGTGCAGATACCATATCCTTTTCCTTATCATGGAAGGCCACTTAAGGAGTAAGCTGAGATTGCAAGCTATAGTAATCTTTATAGCTATAGTAATAGCTACTTTCATTTTGAAAAGTAAAAAATTAGACCAATTGTCGTAAGAGGCTTTCTGTTTATAGTGTACATTTTGGTATTTACCACTTAGTTTAACTTCTGAGGTGTCAGCTAAGAATGCAAGATTTAACAAAAGTACTACTTACAAATGGCAGTGGTATGCCTTTGTTTTTTCTCTCTCACCTCTCCTTCTCAAAGGTGGTAACCCCTAAGTGTTCAGATCATAAACGAGTGTTCTCTTTATGAAATAGTTACTAGGTTAGATTCGTAAACTGGTCTAGAAATCCAGCCACAGTTCAAGTTTTCTGGGTTGTTTAAAGTTTCAACTTTAAAGTTTATTAAACAACTTACTTCCAAATTAAAGCTGCTGTATAATGGTTTTTTTTTTTTTTTTTTTTTTTGAGATGGAGTCTCGCTCTGTTGCCCAGGCTGGAGTGCAGGGGCGCTATCTCGGCTCACTGCAAGCTCCACCTCCCGGGTTCTCACCTTTCTCCTGCCTCAGCCTCCTGAGTAGCTGGGACTACAGGTCCCCGCCACCACGCCCGACTAATTTTTTTTTGTATTTTTAGTAGAGACAGGGTTTCACCTTGTTAGCCAGGATGGTCTCGATCTCCCGACCTCGTGATCTGCCCGCCTCAGCCTCCCAAAGTGCTGGGATTACAGGCGTGAGCCACTGCACCCGGCCCCGTATAATGGTTTTTAAGGTCACTAATCATACCATATGTTTGATTCAGAATAATTTATTTCCAGGTTCTACTGGGCTATTACAAGTTAATTACAATGTATTTGAACGAGATGAGTGTTTCTCAAACTTAAGCATGCATCAGAATCACCCAGAAGACTCAATACCAACTACAAATTGCTGGGTTCCCCCAGCCACCACTGAGTTTCTGATTCAGTAGGTCTGGGGTAGTGCCTGAGAATTTGTGTTTCTAACAAGGTGCCAGTTGATGCTGATGTTGCTGGTTTGGGGCCTACAGTTTTAAAAATCACTGACGTAAACCAACATAGGGTCTCTGCTCTGCAGAGATCTGATTATATATAATAGTGAAACAAAGTCCTTCCCAGCTCAGATTCCATGGTGATAAAGTTCTTTGTATACCTCAATAGCTGAGAGATCAGGAAATCCTATATTTTACTGATAAGGGAAAAACTAGTGCCTTTTAATTAAGTTTTTATTGTCATCCTGCAGTTTTCTTAATAAGTTTTGGTATTTCCTCTTATGAGTGCTGTTTCTTAGAAACTTTGATCAGACTTAGGATCCTGCTTTCCTGAAGCTTAGGCAAGGACAGGGGATAGGATATTTATAATAGTAGTGTAGAAAATGTTAACAGCCATGGAAGAACATGTGTAATGCTATGATGAAACTTTCTTTTTTTATTGTGGTTAGAAAAATGTTATATGGATGACCTGTAGTTTCTTTTGATCTCACTCTTGGTCAGGCTGGAGTGTGATAGCGTGATCACACGTTGAGGCTACTCACTGCAGCCTCACCCTCCCCAGACTCAGTGATCCTCCTACCTGCACCTCCTGGGACTGCAGGTGCGCGCCACCAGGCCCGGCTACTTTTTGTATTTTTTGCAGAGACAGGGTTTTGCCATGTTGCCTGGGCTGGTCTTGAACTCCTACTCTTGAGCTCAGATGGTTTCCTCACCTTGGCCTGTCAAAGTGCTAAAGTGCTAGGATTACAGGTGTGAGCCACTGTGCTCGGCCAAGACCTGTAGTTTCTGTACCTTTTTAATTTATTTTTATTTATTTATTTATTTATTTTTTTTGAGACAGATTCTCACTCTGTCACCCAGGCTGGAGTGCAGTGGCACGATCTTGGCTCTCTGCAACCTCTGCCACCTGGGTTCAAGCAGTTCTCCTGCCTCAGCTTCCCGAGTAGCTGGGATTACAGGTGGCCGCCTCCATACCCGGCTCATTTTTGTATTTTTAGTAGAGACGGGGTTTCACCGTATTGGCCAGGCTGGTCTCGAACTCCTGACCTTGTGATCCGCCTGCCTCAGCCTCCCGAAGTGCTGGAATTACAGGCGTGAGCCACTGTGCCTGGCCACCTTTTTTATTTATTTATTTTTTTGAGACGGAGTCTCACTCTGTTGTCCAGGCTGGAGTGCAGTGGCAGTGGCATGATCTTGGCTCACTGCAACCTCCACCTCCTGCCTCAGCCTCCCGAGTAGCTGGGACTACAAGCATATGCCACCATGCCTGGCTAATTTTTGTATTTTTTTTTTTTCAGTAGAGTTAGGGTTTCACCATGTTGGCCAGGCTGGTCTCCAGCTCTTGACCTTGTGATCCACCCGCCTCAGCCTCCCGAAGTGCTAGCATTACAGGCGTGAGCCATCACACCCAGCATTTTTTTTTTTTTTTTTTAAGACAGTCTTACTCTGTTTCCCGGGCTGGAATGCAGTGACACAATCTCGACTCAGTGTAGTCTCCACCTCCTGGGTTCAAGTGATTCTCGTGCCTCAGCCTCCTGAGTAGCTGGGATTACAGGTTCATGCCACCACGCCCAGCTAATTTTTGTATTTTTAGTAGAGACGAGATTTTGTCATGTTGACCAAGATGGTCTTGAACTCCTGACCTCAAGTGATCTGCCTGCCTTGGCCTCCCAAAGTGTTGGGATTACAGGTGTGAGCCATGGCGTCGGGACCTGTACCTTTGATTTACTACATTTTTTTGACTGGGCAATTCAGTTCGCTGGGTATAAGGAACTGTGGTCTGCTCTTTGAAAATTCTGTAAAAGAGTCTTGAGATTGTTGAGTTATGATTTACATACTTATTTCCTTACAGTAAACTCATCAGTTCTTCACCTTTTAAAAATCTCAGTTATTGGATTGAAACATGAGAAATATGTTAATAGTAATACTAAATCAGAATAAATAGGCATGTGAGCTTTAATAAAATGCACAGTTGTTTTTTTTTTTTAATTTTTATTTTATTGGCCAAGATACTGTGCTGTCACCCAGGCTGGAGAGCAGTCGTGCACATCACGACTTCCGACTTGTGGTCTCGTGATCATCCTGTCTCAGCCTCCCAAGTAGCTAGGACCATAGGCACTAAGTTAAAAAATTTCCACGCCTCGGTAATTTTTAAATTTTTTGTAGAGACAGGTTCTCACTATGTTGTCCAGGCTGGTCTTGAACTCCTGGCCTCAAGTGATCCTTCTGCCTTGGCCTCCCAAAGTGCTGGGATTGCAGGCCTGAGCAACCATGCCTGGCCATAATGTGTAGATCTTTATTTTGGCTATGCAGAGTTCTTTTTGCATACTTTCTTTTGTCATAATGTTCCATGAAGATGTGTACCATGAAGCTGAGTTTCACATACTGGCTGTTTCCCTTTTCATTTCCCCTTTAACCTTGTTCCAGTTATTGCCGTGTAACAGATTAATCCAAAATTTAAGGGATTAAAACCATGATTTTCTTATGCACAAAGATTCTGCCTGTCAGGGATTCAGACAGGGCACACAGGAGTTTTGATGTTTCTGTTCGATGACACTGGGGGCCTCGTGGGAAGACTAAGACTTGTTCATTCATATGTTTGTTGCTTGGACTAAAATGAGTGGAACCACAGGGATTGCTGATCAGAAGCAAGAGGCCTTTCTTCATGGCATGGCTTCCTCATCATGTGGCAGTCTCAGAGTTACTGTATTTGTATGATGGCTGAAGGCTCCAAATACAAGGTGTTTGGATCACCAGCAAACAAGGCAGAGATAGATTGCTTTTATGACTCAGCCTTGGAAATCATACAGCATCACTTATACAGTACTCTTGGTTGAAGCTCACTCAAGTACAATGGCAGGGGAAGTAGACTAGTTGTTAATGGAGTAGTGCCAAGGTCACATTTTAGAACAGTATGTGAGACTGCATGCAGATTTTGTAGCTATCTTTGGAAAATGTAATCTGCGATAGCTCTCGGTTTGGATGAATTCTAAATTTGTTATTGTGTAGAAAATTGGAGGTTTTCTACTCTAGGATAGCTTGTCCTACTATAGGATAGTATAGGTTCATAATTAAGGATTGTTATTGGTGAGAGTCCTAACAATGTACTGAAGTCTGTCAATTTTAGTATCTTTTCTGTTGCGTGGAATTCTTATTGTTTTCATTAAACAAACTATATGTTCATTGCACAGTAGTTAAGTGTATAAAACAAAGCAAAAGGAACACAGCTCTGGCTATAATTTTACCACTCAGGTACCATTCTTACCTTTTTCATTGTTTATCTTTTTATATTTATTTTCATCGCTACACAAACATTTTTTAGGAGTTTGATTCTACCTCCATTTTGGTTAGATATACAAACTCTACCCCATGAGGGATGTATGGTGTATTTCTAGATTTAGCAACAATTTTCTTGAAAAATGTACAATACTATAGAAAAATGAAGATAGTAAATACCAGGTATAAGTTAATAACAGTGTTTCTTTTGTTCAGTAATAATGAACTGTGTACTAGCACTGAACTTTAGGCCCTCCTATTTGCGTATTTTCTGTTTGTATATTTTTAAATAGAGGAATTGTGATTATAATATTATTATTTTGGAATATCCTAAATCATAAATTCAAAACTTATTTAGTTTTTTTTTTTTTTTTTTAAGATGGAGTCTCGCTTTGTCCCAGGCTGGAGTGCAGTGGCATGATCTCAGCTCTCTGCAACCTCTGCCTCCCGGGTTCAAGCGATTCTCCTGCCTCAGCCTTCTGAGTAGCTGGGATTACAAGTGCGCGCCACCATGCCTGGCTAATTTTTGTATTTTTGGTAGAGACGGGGTTTCACAGTGTTGGCCAGGCTGGTCTTGAACTCATGACCTTGTTATCTGCCGACGTTGGCCTCCCAAAATGCTGGGATTACAGGTGTGAGCCACCGGGCCTGGTCTAGTTTTTTATTTCTTAAAAATAGCCTACCCTTTAAGCAAATAGAATTTTTTATTTTAAAAATTTTTAGCTTCCCAAGCTTATGAGTCTTCCCTTTTCTTCCCTTTTAAAAAAGAGAATGAACTATCTGTTGATCCTCAGAGTATTTTGTGAGGTAATTGGACACATCTTCTGCACCTGGGGTCAGGTCTGTCATATCAGTGTAAAAAAAAATTTTTTTCCCTCAAATCAGTAGACTGAAATTTTATACCTGTTTATTTGGAGGCTTATAGATGGTGTGAAATAGTTCATCTAATAATAAAATTGGGTACTATTAAAAGCCTTTAATGTCTTAGTGATTATCTTGGTTTTATTTACCTCCAGTGTTAGGAAGGAATTGTGGTAGGGTTTTCAATTTGGGGTAGAATGGCTAGGCAAGTTGACATTTGTTTATGGTACAAAGAAAATAGATCATTTGACCTAAAAAAAAAAAAAAAAAAGAAAAAACAAAACTTATTACCATTGCTTTTAAACTGGCTTCTGTGGTTTCTGAATGCCCTTTATTAGAATTTAACTTTGTACTTTGTTTCACAATTTTATTATTGGTAAGGGGGTAAGGAACTATGTATGTTCATAATTTATTGGGATTAAGTGTTGTCCTGTTAATTTAGATTTATCCTCATTCACTGTCCTCTTGACCTTTACAATAATAATAGTTTGTGACTCTGTTGCATTACCTGAATATCTGTGGGGTCTTACTTAATAGTAGCCTGGGAAACCTGCAAAGTTTTAATCTTAGCAAGAAAATGGGATCTTAAACCAGATGTTAGTTTTCTGTCCTCACCCTTGAACTAACAAAGCAAAGCTGTTGACTTGTGTATTAGTGAGGTGGTAGCTATCTTGTTCAAGATAAATGGATGAAGTACATTAAAGACAATATGCCCATGAGTTTATTCAGAAAAAAAATACTTTTTTTCCCCTTGGGGTGGGGAGCAGCATCTCACGCTGTCGCCTAGGCTGGAGTTTTGGCATTATTTCAGCTAACTGCAGCCTTCACCTCCAGGGTTCAAGTGATTCTCCCACCTCAACCTCCCAAGTACCTGGGACTACAGTCTCGTACCACCATACCCAGCTAATTTTTGTGTTTTTTGGTAGAGATGGGGTTTCATCATGTTGGCCAGGCTGGTCTTAATCTCCTGACCTCAAATGATCCACCCACCTTGGCCTTCCAGAATGCTGGGATTACAGGCAGGAGCCACCGTGCCTGGCCCGAAAAAATACTCTTTTTTTTTTGGATGCAAAATTTCACTCTTGTTGCCCAGGCTGGAGTGCAATGGTGCGATCTCGGCTCACCGCAGCCTCTGCCTCTTGGGTTCAAGTGATTCTCCCGCCTCAGCCTCCTGAGTAGCTGGGATTACAGGCATGCACCACCATGCCCAGCTGATTTTGTATTTTTAGTAGAGACGAGGTTTCTCCATGTTGGTCAGGCTGGTCTCGAGCTCCTGACCTCAGGTGATCCGCCCACCTTGGCCTCCCAAAGTGCTGGGATTACAGGTGTGAGCCACCGTGTTCAGCCTAAAAATACTCTTATATCACCTAGTCACATGAATTCTTTGGGGAGAGGGAGAGGCAAAAATTTAACTTGATAAATGTCTGATATGCTCACTTGGGTATAAGCAGGATCCTAACCAAATTGTGGCCCTTACCCATGTGGGTAGGAGCCATATGCCTAGTCCATCTAATACTCTTTCTTGATTAAGCTAAAGAATGAATAATGTTGTGCCATTGGTTTACAGTACAGCCTTTGATATCATTCAGCAATGGTTGGAGTATATCTAAAAAGTTTTATGTACTTAGGCTGGGCGCGGTGGCTCATGCCTGTAATCCTAACACTTGGGGAGGCCGAGGCAGGTGGATCACCTGAGGTCAGGAGTTTGAGATCAGCCTGGCCACATGGTGAAACCCTGTCTCTACAAAAAATACAAAAAAATTAGCTGGGCGTGGTGGTGAGTGCCTGTAATCCCAGCTACTTTAGGGGCTGATGCAGTAGAATAGCTTGAACGTGGGAGGCAGAGGTTGCATTGAGACAAGATCGTGCCATTGCACGCTAGCCTGGGTGACGAGCGAAACTCTGTCTCAAAAAAAAAAAATTTATGTACTTAAACTGGAATATATCTTAAAAGTTTATTTAAGTCAAAATTTGAGACAAACTTAGAGGATTGTGAGGGTTTTGTCAAGCATGCTTAAGCTGGTATATACCTTCAAAACGGAATGTAATTCTTTTTTTTCTTTTAACATAGGGTAAGCTTGATGATTACCAGGAACGAATGAACAAAGGGGAAAGGCTTAATCAAGATCAGCTGGTAAAGATGTTATATTTTTTATTTTAGACCTAATGCTCACTATTTTAAAGACAAAAATTAATTCTGTGGTTTTTTGTCTTTCCAGTAAAGTTTGGGTTCTTTGTCATTTTAGGATGCCGTTTCTAAGTACCAGGAAGTCACAAATAATTTGGAGTTTGCAAAAGAATTACAGAGGAGTTTCATGGCACTAAGTCAAGATGTAAGTAAAAGAAAGTATACATATTTATGAAATACTTTTGTTGTTTCTTTGGGTTTTAGTCCTTCCATTACTATTGATAAGCTCTCTGCAAGGTGAGACAGTTGTATCCAATTATATCTAAGATGCCTTCACATTCTGTAAAGTAAAATGTAACACCTGAAAGATGTCTTTTAAAAATACTAAGTTTGAAATTGGGGGCGGTGGCATGTGCTTGTAGCCCTGGCTCCTCAATAGGTTGAGGCCAAGAGTTCATGGCTGTGGTGCATATGATTGTTCCTGTGAATAGCCACCGCACTTCAGCCTGGGCAACGTGATAAAACCCCATCTCTAAAAAAAAAAAAAAACATTAAATTTAAAAATTTTTTTAAAAGGACCAAGTTTGAGATTTGACAACCATGTATAGTAGCTATGCTAAAGGTCTCATTGGTTTAAAATGTTAGCTCTGCAAATACATAAAAATCAGATAGTCATTAGAAATACATAAATGTTTTTTATTTATCATGTTCCTTATGTCTAATGACTCACAATTTAAACTGTCAGAAAATAAAGAGGCTCGTTTATATAATTGGTAATTATTCTCTGCTTTAGGAACCTTAAGGGGTATGGCAAACTGATGTGCTCCTATATCAGCACTCGATCCAACTTAATAGTGGGTTTTTGATGTGACAAAAACCTTTGGGAATAAGGACAAAAGTTAAATGCAAGCAAAGTCAGATAATTTGTTGAGGCCAGAAAATTAAGCCATCTGAATAAGTGTCATCTTCTTTGGAGAAGACTAATAACATTGAAATACAGGCATGTACTCCATAATGATGTTTCAGTCAACTTTGGACCACATATATGATGATGGTCCCATAACATTGTAATACTGTATTTTTACTGTACCTATTCTGTGTTTCGATATATAAATACCTCTGTGTTACAGTTGCCTACAGTAGTCAGTACAGTAACATGCTGTACACATTTGTAGTCTAGGAGCTAATATGCTATACCACATAGCCTAGGTGTGTAGTAGATTGTACTATCTAGGCCGTGTAAGTACACTCCATGTTTGCACAATGAGGAAATTCCCTACTGACATATTTCTCAGAATGTATCCTTGTTAAGTAATGTGTGACTATGTAAAGTTGCCTCTAATTTGCTGAAACAAAAAAGTTTATTATATGAGACAATGCAGTGTAGGGATTAAGAGATCAGATTCTAGAAACAGACTGCCCAGTTGAATCCTAATTTTGTGACTTGACTTTGTAGTTTGACCATGGATGAGTTACTTAATTTCACTGTTCTTGTATTAGTCAAGGTTTTCCAGAGAAACAGATCCAATAGGATAGAAAGGGGGCTGATGGGCAGAGGCCATCACAGTGCCTCGGTTTTCTAATCTGTAAAGTGGTAATAATAACCTCATACGGTTGTGCTTAGAACAGTATTTGATGCATAACTAATATATTTCAAGCACTTAATCATTTTTGTTTGTTTGTCTTGTTTTGAGACAGAGTCTTGCTCTGTCGCCCAGGCTGGAGTGCAGTGCCGCTGTCTCAGCTCACTGCAACCTCCGCCTCCTGAGTAACTGGGACTACAGACCTGCGCCACCATGCCAGTCTAATTTTCTAATTTTTAGTAGGGATGGGGTTTCACCATGTCAGCCAGGCTTGTCTCAAACTCCTGACCCCTCAGATGATCGGCCTGCCTCAGCCTCCCAAAGTGTTGGGATTACAGTGTGAGCCAACGTGCCTAGCTTCAATTACTTAATCTTAGAATTACTTATTACATCTGATCAGGGAAGGAAAATCTTTGCTGAAAACAAAAAAAGTAATTTAATTTTGTACCTAGTGTCTTAGTCAACTTTGTGTTACTATAATGGAATGCCTGAGACCGGATAATTTATATAAAGAACAGAAATTTGTTTCTCACACTTCTGGATGCTGGGAAGTCCAAGATCAAGGTACCAGCATCTTGTTGCATTACTGTGTCCTCACCTGGTGGTAGAAGGCTTAAGGGCAAGAGAGAGTGATCATACTCCTGCAAGCTCTTTTTATAGTAGTATTAATTCATTCTAAATAGCTCCCAAAAGGCCCACCCTCCCAACACTATTGCGTTGGGAGGGTTAAGTTTCTAACACTTGAATTTTAGGGGGATGCATTCAGACCATAGCACCAAAGGAGAGATTTATTCCACTTAGCTTAATGAACCCTGCCCAATTTCTTTTTCTTGCTTTTTTAAAATAGAAGCAGGATTGCTATACAGTTTAATGTAACATCTATTTTGGAAGTTACTATCACTGTGTAATGAAAATACCTGTATCCTTTTTTGCTTCTCTTGTAACACTGGTATTTTCAGGACCTTTCTCTGAGCTTTAACTTCATTAGCAGAGCTGTTATTTATCTTTGATCCTTTGGTATACTGTACACAATTATTAAACATGCTTTTTGTTTAGCATTCAAGAACTTCTTTAGCCTGGCTCCAGCCTACCTTTTCACCTTTTTCCTTCTTGAACTGTTCATTTCATACAGAATAGCTTTCTTTCTTATCTTCTTTTGCTTTGTTAACTTCCTTTCATATTCCTGTCCCTCTTCCTGTGTTTCCTGCCTCCACCTACCTATAAAGACCTTCCTGGGCAGGGTGTGGTTGCTCACGCCTGTAACCCCAGCACTTTGGAAGGCCGAGGTGGGTGGATCACCTGAGGTCAGAAGTTCGAGACCAGCCTGGCCAACATAGTGAAACCCTGTCTCTGCTAAAAATACAAAAATTAGCCGGGCTTGGCAGCACACACCTGTAATCCCAGGAGGCTGAGGCAGCAGAATTACTTGAATTCGAGAAGTAGAGGTGTCAGTGAGCCAAGATCGTGCCACTGCACTCCTGGGCAACAGAGTGAGACTCCATCTCAAAAAACAAACAAAAAACACCTTCCTGGCTGGTCATGGTGGCTCATACCTGTAATCCTAGTATTTTAAGGAGGCTGAGGTGAGAGGATCGCTTGAGGCCAGGAGTTCAAGACCCAAGACCAGCCTTGGAAACATAGACCTTGCCTCAAAAAACTTTTTTTAAATTATTTTTTTAAAAAAGACTTTTTTTTTTTTCTTGAGACAGTCTCACTGTTTCACCCAGGCTGGAGTGCAGTAGCATGATCTCAGCTCACTGTAGCTATCACTTGCCATTTATTGCTAAGATATTTATTCTGCACACTCTGTTACCATTATAGATTTGTCTTGTTCTTGCAGCCTTCATCATTCTTCCCAGGTCTCCTTCCCCATTTTTCCCTTTAGTATAGGTTTCATATGTCCCTATTTTGGTTTTCTGTGTCTTGGTTCATCCTAGTGAGGCTTGAGAAGGGGGAAAAGGTGGAAAGGAAAGCACTACCATGGCTTTTGAGAAGACTAGCCTTCCTCTATTCCCAACCTCATGTTAGATACACGGGAGAGGGAGAGGAATAATTGAGTTTGGCTGATGCTTTCCTTTCAGCCTTTCCAGGAAAGAAAAAAAGGAATGTGGGAAAAATACATTCATACTTAGCTTTATCTATTTTTCTCCACCAGCATCATCTTATTCATAAAAACAAATTAGGCACTCTTTTCAGTAAGATGGAATAACTTTCTGAGACTGGCAGCGGATTATTTGGGACAAAGGGGCCCTTGTGGGTTTTTGGCATTTCCTTGTGAGTCATTAGTAGATACTCAAAGTTAGAACTTTGGGTCATTTGCCCATAGAGGAGCTAGATTGAGGTAAGATTTTTATTGTTGCTGTGGTTGGGTTTCTTTTTTAATTGGCCTAGGCCTTTACATTTCTGTATAATTTCTAAATTCATTAAATTTTTACTTTTTATATGCATAATGAAAAACTTCAGATATATATACCTAACTAAAGAAAACAATACAATGAAACTCTTTGTACCTGTACCCAGCTTGTATATTTATCATCTCATGGTCAATCGTATTTCATATAAATCCACATTCATTTCCTTGCTCCCTTTGCCCTCTAGATTATTTTCAAACAAGCCCCAAACACATTGTTTCATCAGTAATAGTTCAGTAGTAAAATACCTTCTAGGGAAAGAGCTGTTCTGAATTTTTAACAATTGCTTAAAATAGATTATGTTTAAAACTATTTGTAAGTCAGGAATCATCCTTTTGTGTATTGAGGTCATATCTCACTCATTGAGTAAAACATGTTTTATTTAAGCTGGACCTGAAATGGATTGAACTAAGTTTTATATAACTAATTTTGGTGTTTTACTTTTATATTGTTTTGCAGATTCAGAAAACAATAAAGAAGACAGCACGTCGGGAGCAGCTTATGAGAGAAGAAGCTGAACAGAAACGTTTAAAAACTGTACTTGAGCTACAGTATGTTTTGGACAAATTGGGAGATGATGAAGTGCGGACTGACCTGAAACAAGGTTTGAATGGAGTGCCAATATTGTCCGAAGAGGAGTTGTCATTGTTGGATGAATTCTATAAGCTAGTAGACCCTGAACGGGACATGAGCTTGAGGTATTAGTGGTATTTGATAATAGAAACTTCTGAGTATTTAAGTTGACAACTGAAAGGTTATTAATTAGCTATTTACTATTAAAAGGTTGAATGAACAGTATGAACATGCCTCCATTCACCTGTGGGACCTGCTGGAAGGGAAGGAAAAACCTGTATGTGGAACCACCTGTGAGTATCACTGTGATAACTTTGATTTTATAACTAGGAATCTTTAAAAACTAATTTTCTTATGTTTATAGTTCACTTGGAAGAAAAAAATTAGTTTTTTTTTTTTTTTGGAGACAGAGTCTACTCTGTTGCCCAGGTTGGAGTGTAGTAGTGTGATCTCAGCTCACAGCAACCTCCGCCTCCCAGGTTTAAGTGATTTCTATCACCTCATCCTCCCAAGTAGCTGGGATTACAGGCATGCGCCACCACGCCTGGCTATTTTTTGTATTTTTAGTAGAGACAGGGTTTCGCCATGTAGGCCAGGCTGGTCTCGAACTCCTTACCACAAATGATTCACCTGCCTGGGCCTCCCAGAGTGCTGGGATTACAGGTGTGAGCCACTGCGCCCAGCTAGTTTTCCTATTTAAAATTAATATTAATTGAATAAAATTTAGAAATGTATACATAGCATTCATCTGCTATTTACTGTTTGGTTTATTTCTTTTTTGTTTCTTTGTATGTTTAATCTGTAATGTGGAAATCAGAACACCAGCAACAAACAACTAAAACTGGGAATATGATAGTCCTAACTTCACATGGTCTTGTATGTAACTTAACTGTGTTTGAGGTGGACAGATTAACATTAGATTGACTTTCCACAGCTTTTGGTAATAGATAGGGACTGTTTGTTTTATGGCTGAAGTTTTGTGAAACAATTATTGCATTTCATACATTCTGCTCATGGTTATTGCCTTAGTTTTTCTTTAGTTTGTCTTAGACATCTGCTAATTTGAGGATGTTAATTTTTTTCTGTATTTAAAATATGCTGATACTTGGTCTAGTTTTCTTTGTGAGCTCCTTATTCTCAAACATGCAACTGTGAACTGATTTTTTTAAAAAGGGACATTTACGTTTCACTCCTTCAGTATAGGAATTTACGTTTTTAGCCTTCTGTGAAATCAGGGAATAGATTCTTATCTTTGCCATTTATAAGGTTGCATTAGGAAGGTAGATTTTTGAACATAAAATGAAAGTATCTGTATTTATGCATTTTTAGCTATTGGTTGAAAAGAAATCAGATTGGATTATAAGCTTTAATCACCAAAATGGTATGAGCTTTAATTGGCAAAATTTAGAAGAGTATATTTGCTTTAAGGAAATGGGTGCCAGTCCTTGTCTGTCCTTTCTTCATTTAAGAAATAATTTTCTTGGTTTGTTAACATTTACTCTGGTCTGTATTTCTTTGTACAATATGTGTTTACCCTTTTGCTTTTAGTTCTGCAAGTTCTATATGTATAAGCTTGTTAACTTAAAAAAGTAGTTTTAGGTCAAGCTTCATCAGATTTTCATGAGCATTGTTGAAGAGTAACAAAGGTGTTATTAAACCTTTAAGCTTATAGCTTGTTTTGGGGTTATTTTCTACCTAATCTTGTTCCCACATCTTAGGAATGTAACATCTTTACAATGGAAAGGTACTAATCTTTATAATGGGAAGGTACTAATATACCCAAATTAGTGTTTTTATGTACATTTGATTTGTATCTATAACTTTTTGAAAACAGTTTTGAGCCAGGAGCCGCTGAAGTGAAATAAGGAAAACATATGAAGTGTTCATTATCTAAAGAGTTGTTGGTAGTTTATTAAGATTAATTTCCCAATGCTTTTGATACAATATGGTCCTCAAAGTTTTATTTTTCTTCACAGTGACCTATCGGGGAGTGGCCCTACTATGTATCTATTAATAATACACAAGCTAAGAAAATTGAAAGTAATAACTCTTCATACATCTCCCCCTCTGCCCTGCACTTTTAAAAAATACCCTGGTACACCAAATTCTGATAGTTTTTGTTTGTTTTTGAATATCTTTCGATTGTCTACTTTTTTCTCTTCTACTTTTATACCTTTCTCTTGTCTGACGCAGTTGCTTAACTGAGTCCACCCCTCTCCCTCTTTAAAATCTTTAGTGGCTTCATCTCAGTTTTATTTTATATAAGTTTGTCCTTAACTTCAAGGACATTCATGGTCTGGCCTTTACCAGTTTCTCCAGCCACATCTTTCCCTATGCTTGTTTTTTATTCCCTGTATTTTAGCCACAGTGGCTTCCTTTCCTTTTCTTGTATTTGACATCTTTTGTATAGGACTTTGTAATGCTCTTTCTTCTCCCTTGAAACACTTCTTCCCCTCTACTCTTCTGGATTTCAACTCTTGTAGCACTTACCTAGGGAAACCTTTTGTGGCCTCACTCTGATTGGGTCCAGTCCATTGTAGTTCTGTGTAGTACTTTTCACAGATGTAAGTTTTTTGTAGTTGTATTTGATACCACTTCTGTTAGACCATAAGCTTATTGAGGGGATATATTGTGTCTTTACATAACTTTTTGTTTTCCCAGTGCCTAGCATATTGTCTAATGTGTAGTAGGTGCTGAATAAATACTTTTGAATGAATAAATGTTAAATGTCATCTTTTTCCACCTAACTAGTTTACTTAAAATACATAAAGTTCAGGCCGGGCATGGTGGCTCATGCCTGTTAATCCCAGCCCTTTGGGAAGCCAAGGTGGGCATATCGCCTGAGGTCAGACCTTCACTAGGCAACATGGTAAAACCTTGCCTCTACTGAAAATACAAAAATTGGCTGGACGTGGTGGTACACGCCTGTAATCTCAGCTACTTGGGTGGCTGAGGAACAAGAATTGCTTGAATCTGGGAGGCAGAGGTTGCAGTGAGCTGAGATAACGCCACTGCACTCCAGCCTGGGTTTCAGAGCAAGACTGTATCTCAAAAACAAACAAACAAAAACCCCGTAAAGTTTAATATAACTACATTCTTCTTGTTCCCTATCATTCTGTAATACATTTCTGTTCTTGGTGAAATGTAATCTTTTTATGTGTATATGTGTTTTAGTAACAGTTATTTTTTAATCACAATATTTTATAGAATGTTGGATCTTCTTCAAGCCAGGCATCCTCAGATAAGTCTTACATTATAATTCATGTTCTTTTTCTTAGATAAAGTTCTAAAGGAAATTGTTGAGCGTGTTTTTCAGTCAAACTACTTTGACAGCACCCACAACCACCAGAATGGGCTGTGTGAGGAAGAAGAGGCAGCCTCAGCACCTGCAGTTGAAGACCAGGTACCTGAAGCTGGTGAGTATTAGGTGGATATCAACTTTAGTTTAGGGTCCTGGTTTTATTTGATTTTGCTACAAATTTAAACTATACACTTACTTAGTTTTCATATATGTACACTAGATTTTATTTTTAAAGAGACTTTAAGCATGACAAAGTTTTTTTTTTTTTTTTTTTTTTTTTTTTTTTTTTTGGAGACAGAGTCTCGCTCTGTTGCCCAGGCTGGAGTGCAGTGGCGTGATCTCGGCTCACTGCAAGCTCCGCCTCCTGGGTTCACGCCATTCTCCTGCCTCAGCCTCCTGAGCAGCTGTGACTACAGGCGCCCGCCACCACGCCCGGCTATTTTTTTGAATTTTTAGTAAAGACGGGGTTTCACTGTGTTGGCCAGGATGGTCTCGATCCCTTGACCTCGTGATCCACCCGCCTCGGCCTCCCAAAGTGCTGAGATTACAGGCGTGAGCCACTGCGCCCGGCCTTGACAAAATGTTAAGACAGATTATCAAGAGTAATTCCTACCAGTATTCATTATATTTGTCTTAGTAGTCATTTGTCTTACTAGTCTTGATCACTATTATAAACTGATAGATAGTTCTTTTGCAGTAGTATTGATGGGCAGGAGTATGGGTGAGGGCCAGCTGTTACAAGGATTTTCAAATAGGTTTCTGTCTGACATGCCCAGATTTGCTATTTACTATGCCAGTGCATTGGAGGAATAGTATGAGTTGCTTTTGTTTTGTTTTAATCATGGGGAGATTATAGCTCCATAATCTTGAACTATAAATTCCTCCAAGGCAAGGGGTCTTTTCCAGTTAATTTTATCATGTAGCACAACACTAATTATATAGCTAGACACTTAACTGTGAATACTTTTATGATAACTCTTATGTTGATGAGTAAAATTCTGAATACAAGGAAACATTGGAGCATAAGTTTTGTTAGAATCAGAGTGCCTGAATTTAAATCTTCGCTTCAACACTTACTAGCTCTGTAACTTTGGGCAAGTTAATGAAACTCTTGTACCTCAGGTTCCCCGTTTAGAAAATATGTCAAGTGTGTATACAGTGCCTGACACGTGGTAAGCACTTAGTAACTGGTAGCTAGTAGGTTGAAACTAGAAGTGAAGATTGTACATTGGTGGAGTTAATAGTTGGAGATTAATATAAGGCAATCTTTTTCCCCCTCTTACCACTTTACTAAGTAAAGTAAGATTTTTAATCTGTATGCTGCTTCATACTACTACTTATGAGACGGGAGAGGGCTTTTAATATAGTAGCTCTTTATTTGCATTATACATTATCTGAAATAGCTACTGTTGAACCTAAAGTAATTCTGGAATAAATGGTAAAGAAAACTTTCTAAAATATAAAACACTGTTAATTAACTTTATAAATAAGTTTGTAAGTAAATTCAGATTATGTGATGGCAAACTATTTACTTATTTGGAATTTAAGTTGAATTCTTTTTTTTTTTTTTGAGACAGTCTCTGTTTGTCACTCAGGCTGGAGTGCAGTGGTGTGATCCTGACTCACTGCAACCTCTGCCTCCCGGGTTCAAGCGATTATCCTGTCTCAGGCTCCTGAGTAGTGGGGACTACAGGCGCATCACCACACCAGGCTAATTTTTGTATTTTCAGTAGAGATGGGGTTTCACCATGTTGGTCAGGCTGGTCTCGAACTCCTGACCTCAGGTTATCCACCCGCCTTGGCCTCCCAAAGTGCTGGGATTACAGGCATGAGCCACTGTGCCCAGCCTTTTTTTTTTTTTGAGTCAGAGTCTAGTTCTGTCGCCCACGCTGGAGTGTAGTCGCATGATCTTGGCTCACTGCAGTTTCCACCTCCAAGGGTCAAGCAATTCTCCTGCTTTAGCCTCTCGAGTAGCTGGGATTACAGGTGCATGGCACCACACCTGACTCAGTTTTTTTTGTATCTTTAGTAGAGACAGGGTTTCACCATATCGGCTAGGCTGGTCTCAAACTCCTGACCTCAAGTGATCTGCCCACATTGGCCTCCCAAAGTCCTGAGATTATAGGCGTGAGCCACCATGCCCGGCCTTAAGTTGAATTCTTTTTTGTGGGGGACAGGGGGCACTGAGTCTCACTCTGTCACCCAGGCTGGAGTGCAGTGGCGCGATCTCAGCTTGCTGCAACCTCTGCCTCCCGGGTTCAAGCGATTCTCATGCCTCAGCCTTCCCAGTAGCTGGTATTACAGGCACACACCACCATGTCTGGCTAATTTTTGTATTTTTAGTAGAGACGGGGTTTCACCATGTTGGCCAGGCTGGTCTCAAGCTCCTGACCTCAGGTGATCCCCCAACCTCGGCCTCCCAGAGTGCTGGGATTACAGGCGTGAGCCAGCGCGCCTGGCCTAGTTGAATTCTTAACTTTAAAAAAGATTTATTACACTTTATGGCATCATTTCTAAAAATAGACTTTATTTTTATTTTTTATTTTTATTTTTTGAGATGGAGTTTTGCTCTTGTTTCCCAGGTTGGAGCACAATGGCCTGATCTCGGCTCACTGCAACCTCCATCTCCCAGGTTCAAGCGATTCTCCTGCCTCAGCCTCCTGAGTAGCTGGGATTGCAGGCGTCCGCCACCATGCCCGGCTAATTTTTTGCATTTTTAGTAGAGTTGGGGTTTCACCAGGTTGGCTAGGTTGGTCTCGAACTCCTGACCTGAGGTGATCCACCTGTCTTGGCCTTCCAAAGTGCTGGGATTACAGACATGAGCCACTGTGCCTGGCCGACTTTATTTTTTAGAGCAGTTTTAGGCTCACAGCAAAACTGAACAGAAGGTGTAGAGATTTCCCATTTACTTTCTACCCTCACAGATGCACAGCCTCCCTCATTGTCAGCATCCCCCCAACCAGAGTGGTACATTTGTTAACAATGGATAAACCCAAACTGACACATTATTATCACCCAAAGTCCATAGTTTACATATGGGTTTACTCTTATTGTTAATAATTCTCTGGGTTTGGACAAATGCATAATGACGTGTATCTACCAATATCACACAGAGTAGAGTAGTATCACTGACCTAAAAATCCTTTTGTTTTGCACCATTTTTTAACCTCTTAGAACCTGAGCCAGCAGAAGAGTACACTGAGCAAAGTGAAGTTGAATCAACAGAGGTATGATTTTAATTTAATGCTGCCTTTACTTTGCTGCCTTTCAAACAAATGTCTCAAACATTTACTTTGCTTTGCAGTATGTAAATAGACAGTTCATGGCAGAAACACAGTTCACCAGTGGTGAAAAGGAGCAGGTAGATGAGTGGACAGTTGAAACGGTTGAGGTAAGAGTTCTCTGTATTGCAAAGTTGTTGTCTTTGTCTTCAGTTAGTAATTTTTATCTCTACTGAGAACAAATTAAGATTGTTTTTTGCATTATTAGTACATTTATTATAATAACAGACTCATTACACCAGACTGTTACTTCCAAAAAATGAATGTTTATCCCTGTGGATGTTTAATAGGATCCCTGCTTTGCTGAACCAATCTAAAAAAATTATTTTATACAAAGTTATCTGTGGATTAATCTGTTACCATGATTTGTCTCTTACTGAAATTAGGTTGCTCTGTAAAAATCTGGGCTCCCACACTGATAGCTGTGTTTTGGGGTATCATCTTGCACTCCTCCTTTACCCTAATGCTGTTTGGTCACCAGGCTGTAGACTTCCTCTAGCGTTTTCTAATGCTGTCTCTCAACTGATAATGATGATTTTTTTCGGGTCCTCATGTCTAGTTCAGTGACTCTCTTCATATTACTCCTCTCTGACTGCCTCCAGACCATCCTATTCATTGTCACAACTTAATTATTGGAAAAGTTAGCTTTAAGTTACTTGTACTTGAGGCTCTCAGTGATGCCTTGTTACCTGTAAGATACAGTCTAAAAACCTTACCAACTGGTCCTGGCCTTCCTTTTGATCTTCTTTTAGATGTCTTTCTTTACACCCCCAAGGTGCAGGAAAATAGCTGTAAGCTGAGGGTAATATGCTTTTCCTTTTAATATGTTATTCTTATATCAAGACCATTCTCTTGGCCGGGCACGGTGGTTCATGCCTGTAACCCCAGCACTTTGTGGGGCTGAGGCAGGTGGATCACATGAGGCCAAGAGTTAGAGACCAGCCTGGCCAGCATGGTGAAACCCAGTCTCTACTTCAAAAACAAACAAAAACCTGGGCATGGTGGTGCATGCCTGTAATCCCAGCTACTTGGGAGGCTGAGGTACGAGAATCACTTGAACTGGGGAGACAGAAGTTGTAGTGAGCTGAGATCGTGCCACTGCATTCCAACCTGGTTGACAGAGACTCTGTCTCAAGAAGAAAAAAACCCATTTTCCAAAGAGATTGCAAAGTTTTTTTTTTTTGAGAGTCTCACTCTTGCCCAGTAGAGATGGGGTTTCACCATTTTGGCCAGGCTCGTCTTGAATTCCTGACCTCAAGTGATCTGCCCGTTTCAGCCTCCCAAAGTGCTGGGATTACAGTCATGAGCCACTGCGCCTGGCCCATAGATGTTATAATTGTGCCAGCAACTTCATCCCTCTGTTGGAGCACCAAAATGTCCCATTGGTAAGGTAAAGAGAGTAGGCACTTACCCCAGAAAGGTACTTGGGATGAAAATACTGCTCAGGAAGTCCCAACAAAATAGTGTATATTTGCTGAATTAAAGAATGCAGTTCAGAAATGTTATAGGAGGATTAGAAGAGAAATCAATCAAAAAGATTAGTAGAGGTGATTTACAGTTGTTCCTTGTTATACCAGGGGCATTGGTTTTAGGACACTCCCACACACCGAAGTCTGCTCATACTCAAGTTGTGCCATGTATCTGCGGGACCCACATATATACAGGTGTTTCACATCTCAAGAGTACTGGAGGATAAGTGAACCTGTGCAGTTCAAGCCCATGTTGTTCAAATGTCAGCTGTATATATGAGGTGTACAAACCCATTGAGCCTTGACTAAGTCGATGGGATGTATGTTTTTAGGGGAGCCAGGTAATAGGGATGTATAGCATGGATGTAGAAGTAGAAATGAACTATTAACATATTTGTTTTATTGAACATAGAATGCAAGGTAAATATTGACATAGTAGGAAGAAGTTGGGAAGCAGTATACAGTGCTTTGTAGTTAAGTATTTTTTGGATTTTATTTGAGAAGAGCATACTACTTGCCACTGTGCCAGTGTGGTTTGTTCTTTGTATCTAGTAGGTGGGCCTTTCTAAAGGCTATCCACATGAGATTCCACGAATTTTTGGAGCATCCTGAAGTTGGTATTACACAGATTGTTGGTTTCGCTTTGGTAGTGATTTTTATCTGTGTTGTTTATAAAGGGAATAGCTGATTTTGCCTAGTTTCAACCAGTATGACTTGTCCAGTTTTAAATCCAGACAGAATAATATAAATTTGATGTAATAAAAGATAGGATTTCCTTGCAGAGCAGGGAATTACTAAGAACAATAAGCAGAGGAAATTATTAGAGCTGGGAAAAGGCTAATAGAGTGAGCTTTGGCTTCTGTAGCAGTTTAGATGAGTTGGTAAAGCTTGATCCTATGGTGTTGGCTGAGAAAATGGAATGGGAAAAACCCAAATCTTGATGATAATAATAGCTAACATTTCTTGAGTGCTATGTACCAGGTTGTGAGATAGATATATATTTGACATAGATATATAAATCCAGTTACTATAGAAGGCATAACAGTTTTAAGAAAAATACATTATTTTAGGATGTAAACACAGGTAATCTTTCTTTGAAAGCAGCTTATAAAATAAATCTGAGGCTGGGCATGGTGGCTCATGCCTGTATTCCCAGCACTTGGGATGCCAAGGCGGGTGGGTCACAAGGTCAGGAGTTCAAGACCAGCCTGGCCAATATGGTGTGAAACCCTGTCTCCGCTAAAAATACAAAAATTAGCCGGGTGTGTTGATGGGTGCCTGTAATCCCAGCTACCTGAGAGGCTGAGGCAGGAGAATTGCTTGAACCCGGGAGATGGATGTTGCAGTGAGTCGAGATCCCGCCACTGCTGTCCAGCCTGGGTTACAGAGCTAGATTCCGTCTCGAAAGAAAAAAAAATAAATAAATAAGTAAATCAACATGAAATGCTACATAGTGGTCTTATGGAACTGAAACACTGTAGAAGTGATGACATTTTTCAGAATGTTAAATTTGGCATAAATGTAATTCATTTGGGTAACTGCATTAAAGCCCGTTCTGTTTATAGTATAGATGGTTTATGTAGTGTGGGGGACCCATCATGGTGGTAGTGAGTGGAGCTTTTTTGCTCTCCTATTCCTTCTAATCCTTTTTTTTCTACCTTAGGTGGTAAATTCACTCCAGCAGCAACCTCAGGCTGCATCCCCTTCAGTACCAGAGCCCCACTCTTTGACTCCAGTGGCTCAGGCAGATCCCCTTGTGAGAAGACAGCGAGTACAAGACCTTATGGCACAAATGCAGGGTCCCTATAATTTCATACAGGTATGTTCATTTTAGTCAGACTCTGTAACAGAAAGTTTAAGTGTTTATATTATTTGACTTTATTCTATCCTAACTTAACCTGTAGGATTCAATGCTGGATTTTGAAAATCAGACACTTGATCCTGCCATTGTATCTGCACAGCCTATGAATCCAACACAAAACATGGACATGCCCCAGCTGGTTTGCCCTCCAGGTTAGTAGTGGTACATTTTTATGTGAGAGAGAAATATAAGGCCAGTACTTTCAGGTTTTAAAAAGATTGTGAAAATAAATTTTGTTTATTTTAATGACTGTTTAATTTTGACTCTTAGGTCTTTTAATTTGATAGAAAGAATGTTATTGTTCCTATGATTTGAATTAAAAATGTAGTTTATAACTGTTTATTTTTAAACTTTTCATTGGCATGTAGATATAGAAAAATATACGCAAGTTTAATGAGTTTTTATAAACTGAAAACACCTGCAGCTAGATTAAGAAATGAAACATTACCAGTACCCCAGAAACCTACGTTGTTTCCTTTCAATCACTAGTTACCCTCACCCCTAGCGATAGCAACCACTTCCGTACTTGTAACTGTAATAGACCAGTTTTGTCTGTTTTTGTAACTTTAACAAGTGAAATTTTGCTTGGCTTTTAAAATTTCAAAATTAATCTAGGAGTAAAAATAATAGAGGTGCCTTTTTTTGAATGCTTTTAGCTTTCTAGGAGAATTTCTGGATTTTATTACCTTAAAAAAATACACAGCAATGAAGTGGGTAAGGGAATATGTAAGAGGCAAAGGGAAGAGAGAAACCACAAGACAGTTTCAGACTCTTTCTGGACTTACACCATTATTTGAAGTAGTAGCACTAAATACAGTTGGTGCCTTCCATTGGGTTAAGTGGACCTTCTCTCCAGGACTATTAGTGATTGTGAGTCATCTTGGTTTTTCCCAGAACACATCAGTTTTAGTTGCACAAAAGTGGAACTAAATAAAATAACCTATTTAATGTTGCATGATGTTAAATATCATAAAATAAATTGCTGAGTAAAAGTATGTTTAATGACAGTTAATTTGGTGTAAGGTAGTTAGGATTTTTCTGAAGTAAAGGGAGCTCATATCTCTCACATTTTTTTTTTTTTTTTTTTTTTGAGACGGAGTCTCGCTCTGTCGCCCAGGCTGGAGTGCAGTGGCGCAATCTCGGCTCACTGCAAGCTCCGCCTCCCGGGTTCACGCCATTCTCCTGCCTCAGCCTCCCAAGTAGCTGGGACTACAGGCGCCCGCCACTACACCCGGCTAATTTTTTGTATTTTTAGTAGAGACGGGGTTTCACTGTTTTAGCCGGGATGGTCTCGATCTCCTGACCTCGTGATCCGCCCGCCTCGGCCTCCCAAAGTGCTGGGATTACAGGCGTGAGCCACCGCGCCCGGCTCTCACATTTCTATCAAGAGTTTTAGAAAACAGATCAAAGGTGACACCTACAAGAGAGCAATCATGGTTTTTAGTGTTCATTTTCTGAGCTCTACCAAAGGAAGAGAGTAAGTCGTTTTCTCAGCTGGGGAGTTGTGTGAAAGTCAGTATACATAGCACTGATAAAACCTGTAAGGCTATTTAGTTATTTACATAATGCTGAGTCCATTAGACTCTCCAGTGAAAATGGGTACTTTCTAAATGACTAACCAAAGATCGTCGTTTTGATTATCTGTTTAATCATTGTTGGGAAGGGAGGTGAGAGAGTGATGGGAATTGTTAAGAAGATGCATGCTGAGTTGAATATAGGCTGTTAAAAAGTATATATTATTTATTTGTTTATTTAGAGACGCAGTCTCGCTCTATCGCCAGGCTGGAGTGCAGTGGCGCATTCTTGGCTCGGCACGCTGCAACCCCTGCCTCCCGGGTTCAAGGGATTCTCCTGCCTCAGCCTCCCCAGTAGCTGAAAGTACAGGCACACACCACACTACACCCAGCTAATTTTTGTATTTTAAGTAGAGATGGGGTTTCACCATGTTGGCCAGGATGGTGTCAATCTCTTGACCTCGTGATCCACCCGCCTCGGCCTCCCAAAGTGCTGGGATTACAAGCATGAGCCACTGTGCCTGGCCGAAAAGTACATATTTTAAATTTTCTTTTTCTCTAGAAACACTTGAAATTGAAAGTTGGTTATGTTAACATATATTGAGCCGGGTATGGTAGCTCATGCCTGTAATCTCAGTGCTTTGGGAGGCTGAGGAGGGAGGATCACTTGAGCCCAGGAGTTTGAGACCAGCCTGAGCAACATAGACCTCGCCTCTACAAAAAAATTAAAAATTAGTCAAATAAAAAAGTTAGCTTGGCAGGGTGGCATGCATCTATAGTCCCAGCTACTCAAGAAGCCAAGGTGGGAGGATTTCTTGAGCCCAGAGTTTGAGACTACAGTTAGCTATGATGGCGCCACTGCACTCCAGCCTGGGCAACACAGTGAGACCCTGTTTCAGAAGAAACAAAAGGTCAAAATGGAATACTATCTGTCTGAGGTCTAGAGTATGAATAATGCCACTTTATTGTACAGCTTTAAAAGTCTTTTTTCATGGCACTGATTATTTGTTAGTGCATTCTATTAACATTTTACTTTACTTTTGGAAAAAACAAGATGAAACCAATTGTGAAAGTAAACTATTAAATAATAACCACTGCCGGTAAACCAAAATGCTCACTTGAAAGCTAAAATTTTATCTGCATTTCCCAATTTACTTTCATGATTGCTAAAAAGTTTATTTATGGTTTGGCTATAGAAATTTACCTTTAATTGCTGGGCATGGTGGTTCATTCCTATAATCCCAGCACTTTGGGAGGCTGAGGTGGGCAGATTGCTTGAGCCTAGGAGTTTGAGACCAGCCTGGGCAACATGGCGAAACCCTGTCTCTACTAAAAATACAAATATTATCCGAGTGTGGTGGCACACACCTGTAGTCACAGCTACTTGGGAGGCTGAGGTGGGAGGATCACTTGAGCCTGGGAGGCAGAGGTTGCAGTGAGCTAAGATCACATCACTGTACTCCAGCCTGGGTGACAGAGTGAGACACTCCCCCCCCCCCCCCCCCCGCAAAAAAAAAAAAAAAAAAAAAAAGCCTTTAATAGCGAAATAAAAGGTATTTAGACGCGTCTCTCTAAAAATTTAATTTTGTTTGACAAAAATGTTTTGGTCACCTTTGCAGTTCATTCTGAATCTAGACTTGCTCAGCCTAATCAAGTTCCTGTACAACCAGAAGCGACACAGGTAAGAGTGATAAAACTATTTTCTTCAGGGCCAGGTTAGGTGGCTCGTACCTATAATCCTAGTACTTTAGGAGGCTGAGATGGGAGGATCACTTGAGGTCAGGAGTTCAAGACCAGTCTGGGCAGTGTAGCGAGACACCATCTCTATTTTAAAAAAATAATTAAAAAATATTTTTTCACTTTTGTTTTAATTGGTTCCTTGGTTTCTTTCTTAGCTTATGAAAGAAAATAAGAATTTCATCAGTGTCCAAGTCTTCTGTTGGAATTCAGCAAATTTATTGTTGTGGATAGCTGTCAGCCTTTATTTTTATGTTTAGGTTCATTTTTCCTCTTGATGACTTTTTAAGTTTTTCTTAAGTCTTGCATTTTAAATAATGTATTATAATATAATAAGCCTTTTTTATTTAGAACTGAGAATTTCAGAAGACATAGTTTAGACATAATTCTAAAATTTAGTGCAGATTTCTCCATCTTAGAAGTACTTGTGGAGGGCTTTTATAACGAGACTTGGGTTTATTTAACGTCGAGCTTCAAAAATATATATATTTTTGCAATTTTTAGGTTTTATATTATACAAATTTAAAGAGAGATGGTAATATTAATTTCTCCCTTCTTTAGCAGTTGTATCTATTTCTTAGCCTTATGCGTCTTAGAGGTAACTTGTTTTTTTAACAGTCAATTTTGTAAGCAGGAAGAAGCTTTTATTTCTTTACTTATGTCTAGGTTCCTTTGGTATCATCCACAAGTGAGGGGTACACAGCATCTCAACCCTTGTACCAGCCTTCTCATGCTACAGAGCAACGACCACAGAAGGAACCAATTGATCAGATTCAGGCAAGTTCTGTTACCGGGTCACATACATTTGATGAGGCACTTACTCATGAATTGAACAGATGTACATTACCATTAATATAATGATTCTTCTTTTTGGACCTACTTTGCTTTCATGAAATATTTGAGTTTGTTAATACATATAAGTTTGAGATTAATTTACCACTTTAGTACATCTGTTCACTTTTTGTTTGGCTAAGTTTAGTTTACCGCTAAAGTGCATCTATTCACTTTGTGTTTAGGCAACAATCTCTTTAAATACAGACCAGACTACAGCATCATCATCCCTTCCTGCTGCGTCTCAGCCTCAAGTATTTCAGGCTGGGACAAGCAAACCTTTACATAGCAGTGGAATCAATGTAAATGCAGCTCCATTCCAATCCATGCAAACGGTAAGCAAATTAACTAACATTAATTGCCTAGTATGTAATATGAATCATGGTAGATTTTCTTTTCTTTTTTAAAGGTCTTCATTTAACTGTGCTTGAGTCTGCATCTTTCATTAACTGTAGGGTATATTTAATTGAACATAAACTGATTATTCCAGAGATTAACTGATACTAACGGATATTCTAGAGATAAATTTTAGCCTTATGAGTGATGTGCCTGTATCATCTTAATTTGTAGTTTTACCCTTTTGATTTGATTAACAAAAGCTTAAACATTCAGAGAAATAGACTAATATAACATCCATATAATCATTACCTAGATTTAATAGTTGCCCTGTTTGCTTAATCTTTTATTTTACTGAAGTATTTTGAAGTTTCAGATGTTATGCTTTACCTTGATTCTTGAGCAAGCACCTTTAGAGAATTTCTAGAAAATAATAATAATACTATAATCTGTGGGGTGCAGCTAAATCGGTGCTGAGAGGAAAGTTCATAAGATTAAATATTAAAATAACTTTTGATTAATATGTTAATAAAAATGAAAAAACATTCAACCCTGTTAAAGTTCATAGAACAAACTTCTGTAAGTGGTACTGCATCCAGGAGTTTGTCTTATTTATTTATTTTTTGAGACAAAGTCTTGCTCCGTCGCCCAGGCTGGAGTGTAGTGGCGTGATCTCAGCTCACTGCAATATCCGCCTCCTGGGTTCAAGCGATTCTCATGCCTCAGCCTTTGGAGTAGCTGACACTCCAGGCATAAGCCACCATGCCCAGCTAATTTTTGTATTTTTAGTAGAGACGGGGTTTCACCATGTTGGCCAGGCTGGTCTTGAACTTTTGGCTTCAGATGATCTGCCTGCCTCAGCCTCCCAAAGTGCTGGGATTACAGGTGTGAGCCACTGTGCCAGGCCAGAGTTTGTCTTTTAAAAAGATTTCTCATATATGTAAAAGCATTTCCAAGGCTGCTGATTGCATGTCTTTTTATTTTTTTTAATTCCCTACTTCCATTTCACAGCATATTATACTCCCCTTTAAGTACTATATGGTATATATGTCTTTTTCCACATTGAATCACTTGGAGGGATTTTTGTATGTGTGTGTGATGTTTTTGTGTTTGAGACCTCTGTGATGTCTTTATTTATGTCTGAGGTAAAACCACCATTGAGTTTGGCCATGTTATAAACCAGAGAATAAAAGGATGAACTAATCATTTACTTTATTTACTAACAGGTGTTCAATATGAATGCCCCAGTTCCTCCTGTTAATGAACCAGAAACTTTAAAACAGCAAAATCAGTACCAGGCCAGTTATAACCAGAGCTTTTCTAGTCAGCCTCACCAAGTAGAACAAACAGAGCTTCAGCAAGAACAGCTTCAAACAGGTACGAAATCCAGTGTCACCTCATTGGCTCCTTGCTTTCCAGCACAGTTATTGACAGTGTTAGGACAGTTTAGACTTCAGAGTGGTGGTGTCCAAGAGTTTCTGTTTTAGTAGCAGACCATATGAATTTTTCATTTCAGATCATGAGTTAAATTGAGTCTGTACTTGTATATGTGAATTATGTGCAATTTTTGGAGGCTTTATAGCCATTTTCCTTTTGTCACTGAACTTACATAATATCCCTGTTGCATTGTATAATTTATATGGAATTAAATTTGTTACTTGAATTACCATAAAGTGTACTTTTTTTTTTTTTTTTGAGATGGGGTCTCACTCTGTCACCCAGGCTGGAGCGCAGTGCCGTGATCTCGGCTTACTGCAACCTCTGCCTCCTGGACACAAGCAATCCTCCCTACCTCAGCCTCCCAAGTAGCTTGGGAATACACGCATGTGCCACCACGTCCAGCTAATTTTTTGTATTTTTGGTAAAGTTGGGGTTTCACCATGTTGCCCAGGCTTGTCTTGAACTTCTGAGCTCACGTGATCTGCCCACCTCAGCCTCCCAAAGTGCTGGAATTAAAGGCGTGAGCCATTGCACCTGGTGATAAACTATACTTTTAATTGTTAATTGATTGAAGGCTTTTAGCATGATATCTGGCATTGAGTCAGTTAGACAAAGTTAAGAAAAAACTCATGGTGGCTGCATTTCGTGGACTGGGTTGAAACATAATCTATTTTGTCAAGTAAGGTCATAATTTGGCTAGTTACCATACCTGTCACGATAGTAATGTAGGTAGGGACGCTTTTATGTATTTGAGACAGGTTCTCACTTTGTTGCCCGGGCTGGAGTGCAGTGATGCCAGCATAACTCACTGCAGCCTCAAACTCCTGGGCTCAATGATCCTCCTCCCTCAGCCTCCTGAGTAGTTGGTAGTTGGGACTACAGGTGCTTACCGCCATGGCTGGCTAATTTTTTTTTTTTTTTTGTAGAGATAGGGTCTCCAGGAGCTCACTATGATGCCAGGCTGATCTCCAACTCCTTGCCTTGAGCGAACTTATTGTCTCTGTCTCCCAGAGTGGTGGGATTATGGGCATGAACTACCTTGTCTAGCTCGATAGAGATACTTTAGATTTTTTTTTATATATATATTTTTTTAAGAAATGGGGTCTCTGTCTGTTGCCCAGGTTGGAGTGCAGTGGTGTAATCAGATACTGGAGCCTTTAACTCTGGGGCTCAAATCCTGTACTGGAGCCTTTAACTCCCCACAAGTAGCTTGGACTGCAGGCTTTTCTCAAACTCAGGGCCTCCAGCAGTCCTCCCACCTCTACCTTATAGGCATGAGCCACCATGATGTCTTCTTTAGTTCTTTAATTCCTCAGAATTTAATTGGAATCCCACAACAAACCAGCAGTCAGAGGAGTTAATACTTTCATTTTGTCAGCCCGATTTTGAAAAGTTGTAAAATTTTCTAATTATTCAATTTCTTGGTAAACTTGGATCAGCATTAGATTTTTCAGTAGTAAATTCTTACACATCCTGTAGTATTCAGTATCACTAATATGAAGCTCGAATCTTCCATACTCTGATAGAAGTTATCAGTTATACTATGCTCAGCTTCCAAATGATAAAAACTAGTGGTGTGATCACCATGGCTCACTGTAACCTCTGCTTCTGGGTTCAAGGGATCCTCCTACCTCAGTCTCCCAAGTAGCACAGGCCACCATGCCTGGCTAATTTTTTTTTTTTTTGTATTTTTAGTAGAGAGAGGGTTTCACCATATTGTCCAGGCTGGTCTCGAACACCAGTCACATACGCAGCAAGTTCTCTTTAATCTCAGGGCCTTCATACTTACTTTCCTTCTTGCCGAAAACTTTCTCCCACTGATAAGTACATGGATTGCTTTTTCTATTTTTTTAAAAAAAGTTCATTTGTTTATTTTTAATTGAGAAGTAGAAACTATATATATGTGTATTTATGGTATACAGCATGATGTGTTGAAATGTGTGTCCGTTGTGGGCGGGCTTCATGGCTGGCACCTATAATCCCAGCTACATTTGAGGCTGAGGTGGCAGGATTGCTTGAGGCCAGGCGTTCATGATGAAATAATATGTATACATTGTGGGCCGTTGTCCAGTGCAGTGATGCAGTCTCGGCTCACTGCAACCTCCGCCTCTTAGGTTCAATCGCTTGGGTTCAAGCGATTCTCCTGCCTCGGCCTCCTGCCTCAGGCCTCAGGTGATCCACCCGCCTCGGCCTTCCAAAGTGCTGGGATTACAGGCGTGAGCCACCATTCCCGGCCTGATATTTGTTGAAGAAATCATTTCAGTATGTCCCATCATTTTAGAAATTTTATTTTGAATTAGTGTCTAATCAGGAACAACATGACAGAATCTTTGGCTTTTTAAAATGGCCTACAAGTTTATACTTTACCAAAATTTAAGTAGGAATTTGGGTATTTTAAAATAAAATGAAGGCTGGGTGTGGTGGCTCACGCCTGTAATCCCAGCTCTTTGGGAGGCCCACTTGAGACCAGGAGTTTGAGACCAGCCTGGGCAACACAGAGCCCCACCTCTATAAAATAAATACAGAAATTAGCAGGGTGAGGTGGTGAATGCCTGTAGTTGTAGCTACTCAGGAGGCTAAGGCCGGAGGATCACTTGAGCCCAGGAGTTCAAGGTTGCAGTGAGCCAAGATTATTTGACTGAACTCCAACCTCAGCAGTACTGGGTGAGAGAGCTAGACCTTGTCTTAAAAGTGAAAATTAAATAAAATAAAGATCACACTTAAGTTATTATGCTGTGAGTTTCTTCCTTTCTTTCCTTTCCTTTTTCCTTTCATTTTTTGAGACAGAGTCTTGCTCTTGTCTCCCAGGCTGGAGTGCAGTGGTACGATCTCGGCTCACTACAACTTCTTCCTTCCAGGCTTAAGCCATCCTCTCACCTCAGCCTCCCAAGTAGCTGGGACCACAGGCATGCACCACCATGCCTGGCTAATTTTTTGTATTTTGTTGTTGTTGTTGTTGTTGAGATGGGGTCTCACTGTGTTGCCCAGCTGGTCTCAAACTCCTGAGCTCAAGTAATCTGCTCAGCTTGGCCTCCCAAAGTGCTGGGATTACCAGTGTGAGCCACTACACCCAGCCTGGCTATGAATTTCTTACAGTGAGATTTGATCAAGATTAAAAGCTGTTATTGATAAAATGATTCTAAAATTCAGTTCTTTTGGCTACTTTGTACATGGATACACATGAACCATTTTACAAGGAAAATGTTATGTGTATTTGTCATTCACTTACAATTTTAAATTTTGGGAATATAATAAAAGGCAATCTATGTAAAAAGATGACACCGATGTAGTTGGTTTACTAAGTAATTCAAGAGGAGCAGTGGCTCTCTCTTTTTCTCTAGGTATTCCCTAGTGCTTTCATCGTAAAATAGGATTCTAACAACTATTAATGTATTTGGAGTTTCTTAAGGGTGTAAAATAGGTCAAGTAAAGATTTTCAAGAGTCATACAGCTGCTTTTCTCTCTGCCCCAAAAGGGGAGATTTGGGTTGGCCAGCAGCTTCTGACCCTTGTTGTTAGTGTGTGGGCCTTCCTTTGTTCTGTTGCCTTCCTCACCTCCCAAAGGTACTTTTAGCACCCTATTTTTTTCTCCTCTTTGAATTATAAACATTGTTCTGTAGTATTGAATTTTTGAAAATTTCTAGATTCTAGAACTCTGTCCATTGTGGATGGAGCTTGTATATATGTTAGTGTGTACCTTAGTCTAGAACCTTCAAGTGGGTTGAGTGCCAATGTGAGTACCATGTGATTGTTTTCTAAATTGGCTATACTTGCCATTTTAAATACTTTGAAATGGAATTTGGCATTAAGGGCTACAAGTCGAAGGCCTCTGCTGATTAAACTATGTAGTTGATGACATATTCTACCATCTAGCTGCTTAAATATGAGAGAGTGGTTTTGTATGTTTTACTAAGTAAAAAAAAGGATATTTAAAAGAATAAGAAAACTTCTACCACTAAGGAGCTTTATAATGAAAAGAAGTAATTAAATGGTACAAAATGGTAATGTACTAAGAGTAAATCTTTTGAGTTATTTTGGGTCTCTTGTGCTAAAAAGTAGATGCCTTTCAGAAGACGTTAATATAGCCTTTCAAATAATTTGTTTGGAAGGATCAATCATGCACCCTGCTTTCAAAGGTTTGGAATTGTGGTTGGAGAATTTTACCCCCAATAGCTGAGTCTAAGGGTAGGAGAAAGGTAAGAGACTTTATTCATGTGTAGTTTTTCTTATCATTGTATGCAAATTTAAGGATTAAACTTTAAGGAGACTGTATAAGACACTTCTTAAACTAGAAAGTGCGTGGGAGAACAAACGGTAATGAGCTGTTTATGTATATATCTTTTTCTTTTTTAAATTATAGTGGTTGGCACTTACCATGGTTCCCCAGACCAGTCCCATCAAGTGACTGGTAACCACCAGCAGCCTCCTCAGCAGAACACTGGATTTCCACGTAGCAATCAGCCCTATTACAATAGTCGTGGTGTGTCTCGTGGAGGCTCCCGTGGTGCTAGAGGCTTGATGAATGGATACCGGGGCCCTGCCAATGGATTCAGAGGTAAAAAAATAAAAAAGGAGGTTCTAATGACCTTTTACTAGTTCAAATTATTTTTTGATTTGTAAAATATATCACACAGTTTTTGGGAAGGATGTATCTGCATTAGCCTCCTATGTGCAATTTAAACAATGTATATTTTGGTACAATTTGTGTATTTGGTATAATTTGTTATTTAAATAACAGATCATGGAATTTTTGTTCATTTGGTTATGTCAAATTAATGTCTACCACTATCTCCTGGAGGATAAGTATTTTCCACATTACCAAAACTTACGGGGATTGTTTATTATATTTGTACAGATGTGTGTTTACATGCATAGATGGGTTAAAAGTTTATCTTCTGAGGGGCAGTTAGTACTTACAGAAATTTATAAACAGATTGGATCAAGATAGGAAATTGGAGATTAATTTGATTAACTAGCCTGGCTTATAATTTCTAGTTCTTCCCGTCTTCATTAATAAAAAAGTAAAAATTCCTTGTGAAGATAAGAAAATTATTTCTTTTCTTGTCCTAAATTTTAGGAGGATATGATGGTTACCGCCCTTCATTCTCTAACACTCCAAACAGTGGTTATACACAGTCTCAGTTCAGTGCTCCCCGGGATTACTCTGGCTATCAACGGGTAGGTAAAGTAGTTCTAAAGTGTAAACCTGAACTAAATATACCAATGAAAGTGACTTAGTGTTGTTGCTTAATGAACCTAAGTAACTAATTTGGCGTTAACTTTGTGGTGTCCAAGACACTCTGTTGAAACAAAAGCTTTTAGCACTCAACATCAGTACTCCTTTAGTAAAGCCTGTTAAAGACAGTGATTTCCAAGAGCAGAGAAATATATTTCACTGAATGTTCTTTGAGAATAGTAGAAGTACAACAATTACAGAACAAGGTGTAGCTGTGATAAACTGATACTGAAGTGTCTAAAAGATTAAGGAAGAATTCTGTATTGAGTGTTAGACTGAAAGAATAGATGGGTAAGCATTTTTTAAAAAGTACCTTTTCAATACTAACTAGCTTGTCTTTTAGGATGGATATCAGCAGAATTTCAAGCGAGGCTCTGGGCAGAGTGGACCACGGGGAGCCCCACGAGGTAATATTTTGTGGTGGTGATCCTAGCTCCTAAGTGGAGCTTCTGTTCTGGCCTTGGAAGAGCTGTTAATAGTCTGCATGTTAGGAATACATTTATCCTTTCCAGACTTGTTGCTAGGGATTAAATGAAATGCTCTGTTTCTAAAACTTAATCTTGGACCCAAATTTTAATTTTTGAATGATTTAATTTTCCCTGTTACTATATAAACTGTCTTGAAAACTAGAACATATTCTCTTCTCAGAAAAAGTGTTTTTCCAACTGAAAATTATTTTTCAGGTCCTAAAACCTGCTAAATGTTTTTAGGAAGTACTTACTGAAACATTTTTGTAAGACATTTTTGGAATGAGATTGAACATTTATATAAATTTATTATTCCTCTTTCATTTTTTTGAAACATGCCTATTATATTTTAGGGCCAGACACCCTTTAATGGCCGGATAAGCCATAGTTAACATTTAGAGAACCATTTAGAAGTGATAGAACTAATGGAATTTGCAATGCCTTTTGGACCTCTATTAGTGATATAAATATCAAGTTATTTCTGACTTTTAAACAAAACTCCCAAATTCCTAACTTATTGAGCTATACTTAAAAAAAATTACAGGTTTAGAGAGTTTTTTGTTTTTCTTTTACTGTTGGAAAACTACTTCCCATTTTGGCAGGAAGTTAACCTATTTAACAATTAGAGCTAGCATTTCATGTAGTCTGAAATTCTAAATGGTTCTCTGATTTGAGGGAGGTTAAACATCAAACAGGTTTCCTCTATTGGCCATAACATGTATAAAATGTGTGTTAAGGAGGAATTACAACGTACTTTGATTTGAATACTAGTAGAAACTGGCCAGGAAAAAGGTACATTTTTCTAAAAATTAATGGATCACTTGGGAATTACTGACTTGACTAGAAGTATCAAAGGATGTTTGCATGTGAATGTGGGTTATGTTCTTTCCCACCTTGTAGCATATTCGATGAAAGTTGAGTTAACTGATAGCTAAAAATCTGTTTTAACAGCATGTAAAAAGTTATTTTATCTGTTAAAAGTCATTATACAGTTTTGAATGTTATGTAGTTTCTTTTTAACAGTTTAGGTAATAAGGTCTGTTTTCATTCTGGTGCTTTTATTAATTTTGATAGTATGATGTTACTTACTACTGAAATGTAAGCTAGAGTGTACACTAGAATGTAAGCTCCATGAGAGCAGGTACCTTGTCTGTCTTCTCTGCTGTATCTATTCCCAACGCTTGATGATGGTGCCTGGCACATAGTAGGCACTCAATAAATATTTGTTGAATGAATGAATGAATGAGTACTGGTGGAATACTCCATTAGCTTTACTCTTCTTTTAGCTAAGAGAACATGAGCAAATTTGCGCATGACAACTTCCAGGACAGGGGAAACTTGAACACTGAAGAATTGACCTCTTAAGCCTAATAATGTGGTGACAGGCTGCCCACATGCTTCTTGACTTCAGATGAAAATCTGCTTGAAGGCAAAACAAATAATATTTGAAAGAAAAATCAAATGCCATTTTTGTCTTCTAGGTCGTGGAGGGCCCCCAAGACCCAACAGAGGGATGCCGCAAATGAACACTCAGCAAGTGAATTAATCTGATTCACAGGATTATGTTTAATCGCCAAAAACACACTGGCCAGTGTACCATAATATGTTACCAGAAGAGTTATTATCTATTTGTTCTCCCTTTCAGGAAACTTATTGTAAAGGGACTGTTTTCATCCCATAAAGACAGGACTACAATTGTCAGCTTTCTATTACCTGGATATGGAAGGAAACTATTTTTACTCTGCATGTTCTGTCCTAAGCGTCATCTTGAGCCTTGCACATGATACTCAGATTCCTCACCCTTGCTTAGGAGTAAAACAATATACTTTACAGGGTGATAATAATCTCCATAGTTATTTGAAGTGGCTTGAAAAAGGCAAGATTGACTTTTATGACATTGGATAAAATCTACAAATCAGCCCTCGAGTTATTCAATGATAACTGACAAACTAAATTATTTCCCTAGAAAGGAAGATGAAAGGAGTGGAGTGTGGTTTGGCAGAACAACTGCATTTCACAGCTTTTCCAGTTAAATTGGAGCACTGAACGTTCAGATGCATACCAAATTATGCATGGGTCCTAATCACACATATAAGGCTGGCTACCAGCTTTGACACAGCACTGTTCATCTGGCCAAACAACTGTGGTTAAAAACACATGTAAAATGCTTTTTAACAGCTGATACTGTATAAGACAAAGCCAAGATGCAAAATTAGGCTTTGATTGGCACTTTTTGAAAAATATGCAACAAATATGGGATGTAATCCGGATGGCCGCTTCTGTACTTAATGTGAAATATTTAGATACCTTTTTGAACACTTAACAGTTTCTTTGAGACAATGACTTTTGTAAGGATTGGTACTATCTATCATTCCTTATGACATGTACATTGTCTGTCACTAATCCTTGGATTTTGCTGTATTGTCACCTAAATTGGTACAGGTACTGATGAAAATCTCTAGTGGATAATCATAACACTCTCGGTCACATGTTTTTCCTTCAGCTTGAAAGCTTTTTTTTAAAAGGAAAAGATACCAAATGCCTGCTGCTACCACCCTTTTCAATTGCTATCTTTTGAAAGGCACCAGTATGTGTTTTAGATTGATTTCCCTGTTTCAGGGAAATCACGGACAGTAGTTTCAGTTCTGATGGTATAAGCAAAACAAATAAAACGTTTATAAAAGTTGTATCTTGAAACACTGGTGTTCAACAGCTAGCAGCTTATGTGATTCACCCCATGCCACGTTAGTGTCACAAATTTTATGGTTTATCTCCAGCAACATTTCTCTAGTACTTGCACTTATTATCTTTTGTCTAATTTAACCTTAACTGAATTCTCCGTTTCTCCTGGAGGCATTTATATTCAGTGATAATTCCTTCCCTTAGATGCATAGGGAGAGTCTCTAAATTTGATGGAAATGGACACTTGAGTAGTGACTTAGCCTTATGTACTCTGTTGGAATTTGTGCTAGCAGTTTGAGCACTAGTTCTGTGTGCCTAGGAAGTTAATGCTGCTTATTGTCTCATTCTGACTTCATGGAGAATTAATCCCACCTTTAAGCAAAGGCTACTAAGTTAATGGTATTTTCTGTGCAGAAATTAAATTTTATTTTCAGCATTTAGCCCAGGAATTCTTCCAGTAGGTGCTCAGCTATTTAAAAACAAAACTATTCTCAAACATTCATCATTAGACAACTGGAGTTTTTGCTGGTTTTGTAACCTACCAAAATGGATAGGCTGTTGAACATTCCACATTCAAAAGTTTTGTAGGGTGGTGGGAAATGGGGGATCTTCAATGTTTATTTTAAAATAAAATAAAATAAGTTCTTGACTTTTCTCATGTGTGGTTGTGGTACATCATATTGGAAGGGTTAACCTGTTACTTTGGCAAATGAGTATTTTTTTGCTAGCACCTCCCCTTGCGTGCTTTAAATGACATCTGCCTGGGATGTACCACAACCATATGTTACCTGTATCTTAGGGGAATGGATAAAATATTTGTGGTTTACTGGGTAATCCCTAGATGATGTATGCTTGCAGTCCTATATAAAACTAAATTTGCTATCTGTGTAGAAAATAATTTCATGACATTTACAATCAGGACTGAAGTAAGTTCTTCACACAGTGACCTCTGAATCAGTTTCAGAGAAGGGATGGGGGAGAAAATGCCTTCTAGGTTTTGAACTTCTATGCATTAGTGCAGATGTTGTGAATGTGTAAAGGTGTTCATAGTTTGACTGTTTCTATGTATGTTTTTTCAAAGAATTGTTCCTTTTTTTGAACTATAATTTTTCTTTTTTTGGTTATTTTACCATCACAGTTTAAATGTATATCTTTTATGTCTCTACTCAGACCATATTTTTAAAGGGGTGCCTCATTATGGGGCAGAGAACTTTTCAATAAGTCTCATTAAGATCTGAATCTTGGTTCTAAGCATTCTGTATAATATGTGATTGCTTGTCCTAGCTGCAGAAGGCCTTTTGTTTGGTCAAATGCATATTTTAGCAGAGTTTCAAGGAAATGATTGTCACACATGTCACTGTAGCCTCTTGGTGTAGCAAGCTCACATACAAAATACTTTTGTATATGCATAATATAAATCATCTCATGTGGATATGAAACTTCTTTTTTAAAACTTAAAAAGGTAGAATGTTATTGATTACCTTGATTAGGGCAGTTTTATTTCCAGATCCTAATAATTCCTAAAAAATATGGAAAAGTTTTTTTTCAATCATTGTACCTTGATATTAAAACAAATATCCTTTAAGTATTTCTAATCAGTTAGCTTCTACAGTTCTTTTGTCTCCTTTTATATGCAGCTCTTACGTGGGAGACTTTTCCACTTAAAGGAGACATAGAATGTGTGCTTATTCTCAGAAGGTTCATTAACTGAGGTGATGAGTTAACAACTAGTTGAGCAGTCAGCTTCCTAAGTGTTTTAGGACATTTGTTCATTATATTTTCCGTCATATAACTAGAGGAAGTGGAATGCAGATAAGTGCCGAATTCAAACCCTTCATTTTATGTTTAAGCTCCTGAATCTGCATTCCACTTGGGTTGTTTTTAAGCATTCTAAATTTTAGTTGATTATAAGTTAGATTTCACAGAATCAGTATTGCCCTTGATCTTGTCCTTTTTATGGAGTTAACGGGGAGGAAGACCCCTCAGGAAAACGAAAGTAAATTGTTAAGGCTCATCTTCATACCTTTTTCCATTTTGAATCCTACAAAAATACTGCAAAAGACTAGTGAATGTTTAAAATTACACTAGATTAAATAATATGAAAGTCTGGTTTTCTCACTGTCCTTGAACGCAGTCTGCTTAAGTTGTTAAAAACCATCCAGCAAAAGCTGTAGGTGAAGAAGTGCTACTGGTGTGAAGAGAGGAAAAGGTTTATAAAAGCAATCTGATAGCCTCATCTAATACACTTCTCAGCTTCTGCTACTAATATCCTACTTTTAACAAGCTGTTCTGAAGCTTAATCCAGTTACATAAGCAGTACGGCTGTTTTGAGTAGAGGCAGTGGAAGATCAGCAGTTTGTTCCTGATCATCTAGCAAAGGCATTTGTGTATTAATGCTTATTTGGAAATACCAATTTTAAGTACTGTGTTTAATAGGGAGACACACTGTATTAAGCAACTAAACTAAGGCTTTATTCAGCAAATTAGGGTATCCTTTGCCCAGCATCATGCCAAGCACTAGGCATTTAGTGGTGACAAAAATTACTGTGGTTTCTGCTTTCATTGAACTGTCTAATCAAAGACTGATGACACCAAAGTGTAGCAGATGCCATGATGGAGCAATGTGGTTGATGGCAGATATTAAAGCCATGACTGAGTGTATACCCTAGTTAAAATGATCAGGGGAGACTTAACTGAAAGGGGTAATTGAGCTAGATTTGAAGGATGAGGAGTAGCAGACTAGTCAAAGAAAGGGAGAGAAGAACATACCTAAACATCTGATCACCAGTGACTGAGAAAGTTATCAGGATCAAGTGGAAAGAGAAAGGACTAGCAGAGTTACAGGTTAGAGAAACAGGTAAAGGCTACTATGGACGGCATAATAGTTGCATCCCATGTTTTGTCTCTTAAGAACAGTTGCAAACTATTGAAGGTTTTAAAGCTGTGTGTTGGGCCGGGTGTGGTGGCTTGTGCCTGTAATCCCAGCACTTTGGGAGGCCGAGGCGGGTGGATCACGAGGTCAGGAGTTTGAGACCAGCCTGGCCAATATGGTGAAATCCCGTCTCTATTAAAAATAAAAAAGTAGCCAGGCGTTGTGGCATGCGCCTGTAGTCTCAGCTATTTGAGAGGCTGAGGCAGAAGAATCGCTTGAACCCGGGAAGTGAAGGTTGCAGTGAGCAGAGATCGCGCCACTGCATTCCAGCCTGGGCGACAGAGCGAGACTTCGTCTCACAAAAAAAAAAAAAAAAAAAAAAAAAAAAAAAAAAAAAAAAAGGCTGTATTGTTTGGGGTGGGGTTGGTGGCTCACTTAATAAAGTTACCATTTAAAGAACATTCAATGCAATGAACAACATATATGGACCAAGAGATGGTAAGGAGGCTTGTTGGAGTGGCCCATGTGAGAAATGGATTCCAACTTAAGGTGCGGATGGGGTGGTGGTAGTGAATGGATTCTATGGATTCCCTATCTCACTGGTCACTACTCAGTATCCTTTGCTGATTTCTCCAGGTCTTGGATGTCAGACTTCATCTCTAGCTGTGTTCTTCCCTGGGTGATCTGATCCAATCCCATGATTTTGAATATGATCAGCATTTTAGTCCTGAATATTTCTAGGCCCCAAACCTCTCAAAACTCATATTCAACATCTTGATATGAATTTCTCAATATTCCAAGTCAACTCCTTGATTACCCAACACCAGTTGTTCATTCATCCAGTTGCTCAGAGCAAATGTTTTGGGTGCCATCTTCAATGTACTTTTATAACCTGCATCTAATCCTTAAGTGAGTCCACGTGGTTCTAACTTGAATATCCAGAGTTATCTTATACTTCTAACTACTACCACAACTACCATCCTAGCACAGGTGACTACAATAGCTTATAATTGTTCTCCTTTTTCTACTTTTGCCTTCCTGTGATTTAGTTTTTGCATAACAGGAAGCCTTTTAAGAGGGCAAAGCAGATTTTCTCATTTCCCTGTCCCCCACAAACTCCAGTGGTTTCTCATCATGACTAGAATTAAATTCTAAATCTGGTCCTTCACTTGCCCACTGCTTTGGCCACACTGACTGCTTTGCCAGGACTCCCCCATCTTGGAGCTTTTGTATGTACATCTTTGGCACGGGGAAGTTTTTCACTCATATTCTCAGGGCTCATTCTTTCTAAATTTCAGGTCCTTGTTCCATCCAGTGTCACCCCGTCAGAGGCCTTCAGTGTTCGTTTCTAAAATAGTATCCTTAGTCACTTTACTCACTGGATACTTCTGCTTAATAGCATTTAAAACTTAACCTAGAATTAACCACGAGGGGCAGGAACATTTTGGACACTATCCCTTGTGAGCAGAATAGTGCGTGGGCATATTCACATTTTGCTGAATGAACTAAAAAATTTCATGATGGATGTTGGATTAAATGGGTAGTGCTGCTGATGACATTAAAAGTGTATCTGGGGAAGGGGTTTGGATTCAGACATTTGCGGTATCCAGGAGGAAACATCAAGCAGTTGATAATGTTTTTTGAAGTTCAGCGATCTGCCCCAAAGTCAAGAATGCAACACTATGTATAGGTTGTCCCTGTAGTCATGTTCTTGGAGTTCACTGGAAGCCCAGGGGGAGTAATTTCATTTGACGACCATATACAGGCCTAATGGGAGCCTGCAAAGTACAGCGGCCGCAGTCATGGGTAGATTACAGGATTCCCATCTGTAAGATCAGTACTGTGGGGGTGGAGGGCCAAGCGAAACCAATAAAATAGGTCTGTTGGCCGAGTTTCCTCAACTTAACGGGGATCGGTTAAATTGAACACAAATCGTTGGATCCGTCGCGTTTCGCGTAACCAGGCTGACGCTGAAAACCCTGGACCTACGTGGGCAGGCCCTGGGGTGCGGACATCTATTTTGCCCTTCTTAGCCGAGGTACTTTAGCTGGGATATGAAGAGTGAAGAGGCAAACCGCAGCCAACACCCAGCTACCGCGAGCAGTGGGACTAAAATGCGCAACCGCAGTGGACATCTAGGCCTCAGCTCCGCTTCTGGTGGCTTACGTCATTACTCAGCGACAGCCTTGAGGAAGGTCCCTTCTCGCTCGCCATCTCTGCGACTTTAATGCGCTTGCGCACGTGCTGTCTACCAGTTCCTGAGAGGGACGCGTGCCGCGGAGCCAGGCTTACTACGTGACCCGGACACCAGGCATACGCTAGGGGCAGTCAGCTGTGCCTTCTCTTTCGGAGTTGTTCCGTGCTCCCACGTGCTTCCCCTTCTCCACTGGCTGGGATCCCCCGGGCTCGGGGCGCAGGTACCCAACGCGGGAGGGCCGGGTATGGATGCCAAGATCGGTGTCTGTGTTCTTCCTGGGTCGAGAGGGGACCGGCCTCAGGATGAAGGCTCTGCATCCGGACGGATACCTGGCCTACGCCGTTTGTCCTCCACCCCTCTTTTGGGGCGCTCCAAGATAACAGAATCACCTCTCCAATACGCAGCCGCTCTCGGCGCGTGCTTCTCGAGCGTCCTCGGGGATTTGCGTGGCTCGATAACCACCTCTAAGTAGTGCCTGTAACTGGGGAGTCGGGGTGAATGGGTGGGTGACAACAGTTGTTTTCCGTGGAGCTTGCCCGCAGTGCCTGGCTGCAGGTCTGGGCATTATACTTAGGGTAATCTGATTCCAGATCCTTCCACGTTCTTAAATCCTTCACTGTGCACATTCCTTTATACTCTTTATTCAGCAGTCACATTCAGGACTTGGTTTTGTTTGCCAGTGCACCTAAAATGGTGCCTGCCACATAGATGTTATGTGTAGATAGACGAATGAGTGAGCGAAAAATAATCATCTCCTTCAAGGCCTTCCCCATCCAGGCCTTCCATGACAGCTTCAGCCCATAGTAATCTCAGCCCTTCCTTCATCTGACCGGTCCCTCAGTATAGCTATTTTTTTTTTTTTTACATCTAATTTTACCTGTGTTCTTGTTCCTCATCTCATTCTCTTAAATACCTTCTTCAAGAAGAATGCAAGCTTGAAGTCAAGGGCCTTGTGGTACTACTTCTGGGGCTCCCACAGTAGCTAGAGCAAAAGGCAGCCCCCATTAATTAGTTGTTGATTGATTTTTGCGGGATCTTTATGTGGCCGGCAACACAAGGTTTACAAGTTGGGAAGATTGGCGAACTGGGAAGAGCTCAGGCTTTGGAGTCAGGAAGACTTGAGTGTGAATTCTGTCTGTCGTTTTTCTGCCTCGGGATATTTGAATTCTTTATACTTTCTCCTTTACGTATAAATTGGGGTCCTTGACAGTGACTTAGTGTTTTATAGTAAGACATATGCTAAAATCTGTTTGGATTGGAAGGTTAGAAGGGACAGTTAAGGTATGGTAAGTTTCAGTAAATGAGCTTTATGTTTATAATGCAGTAGGTACCAGAGTTTCTAAGTAGCATGTCACTTTTACATCTAAGTAGCATGTTACTTTTACAGTGATATTTCTGATGGTTTTTTTGATGTATTTATTGGGATGATGCAGTATTTTACTGTAGGTAATCACAGAACTTTTTTTTTTTTTTTTTTGAGACGGAGTCTCACTCTGTCGCCTAGGCTGGAGTGCAATGGCACACCATCTCGGCTCACTGCAACTTCCGCCTACCGGATTCAAGTGATTCTCTTGCCTCAGCCTCTCCTGCAGCTCCACTACCACTCCCGGCTAAGTTTTGTATTTTTAGTAGAGACGGGGTTTCGCCATACTCTTGAATTCCTGACCTCAGGTGATCCACCCGCCTCGGCCTCCCAAAGTGCTGGGCTTACAGGCATGAACCACCACTCCCGGCGAGAACTTTTGAGGTCTGTCTGTACAAAGGCTTCAATATCGTTTTCCCTAAAATGAGGAAACAGTTGGACACATTACATCATGGAATTATTCATTGATGGTTATTGATTTCCCTGACTTTATTAGTAACACGTGAATTTTTTAAGATTCCACAAAAACAAAAGAACAAAATAAAAGTCCCACCATCCAGAAGTAGCTACTTTATACTTTGGTATTTCCTTCCAGTCTTTTTTATTTTTCCCTCTGTTATGTGTATGCATAAGAAATGTTATCATACTTTATTCTGTCATGATCTTGTCATAAGCATCTATATCCATATCCTTAGTTGTTAAAAATGCTTGGCCCAGCATGGTGGCTCACACCTGTAATCCCAGCCCTTTGGGAGGCTGAGGTGGGCAGATTGCGAGGTCAAGAGATCGAGACCATCCTGGCCAACATATGCGCCTGTAGTCCCAGCTACCTGGGAGGTTGAGGCAGGAGGATTGCTTGAACCCAGGAAGCAGAGGTTGCAGTGAGCCGAGATCATGCCATTGCACTCCAGCCTGGCGACAGAGTGAGACTCCGTCTCAAAAACAAACAATGCTTTGGATATTTGGATATCTCCTTATGTATTTTAGTCATTCTTCTACTTTTTTGAATATACAAGTTTCTGGCTTTTAAAAAATATTTAATAGAGGTGAATTACAGGCTTTCCAGGCTGAGGGAAGGTTTTCTCACCTCCCAAGCCTAAGGTTTCCTGAGTTTAAAACTAGAGGCTGATGTCTTCCTGTGGAGCTCGTAGAGGGTTAAGTAAGACAATACTTATAGATATGCCTAGCACAGTCCCAGGCCCCACAAAAGGCAGCCAGCTAATGTTCCTTAGACAATCTAGTGCGCATGGCCAGTTGTATTTCTTTCTCTTTTAGTAATAATTTTTCACCATGCATCGGAAAAAGGTGGATAACCGAATCCGGATTCTCATTGAGAATGGAGTAGCTGAGCGGCAAAGATCTCTCTTTGTTGTAGTTGGGGATCGAGGAAAAGATCAGGTATGGCCTGGTAAATGCTTCCTGAATTACTTTTTATCTTGTCCAAAGAATCAGCATGTTTAAGCACTCTGCTGTTTCAGGACATAATGGCATTAAGATCTCTTTGGCTGGTAAGATGCCTAGTGGGAACCTTTCTTTATTTCCTGGAAGTGGTGAATTCTCTGTATTTAGATTGATTCGCAGACAAGCTAATACCTTTTGAAGCCTGGGGTGGTGGGTTGACCACAAAGTGAACTGTATGTGACCTGGCTTCTAGTCCAAACCTGGTCATTGCTCGCCTTAGAACCTTGGGCACTTCCCTTCCCTGGCCCTCAGTTTAGTTTCCACATCCGTCAAATGAGGTCTTAAGCCTGGCGGTCTCTAAAGTCTCTTTTGTGCCTGAAATTCTGTGACTTTTTTGTTTGGCAGGTGGTAATACTTCATCACATGTTATCCAAAGCAACTGTGAAGGCTCGGCCTTCAGTGCTGTGGTGTTATAAGAAAGAGCTGGGGTTTAGCAGGTAAGCTGGGCTCTTCATGTGTTTTATCCAACTTACAATTCCTGCTCATTAGTTAAATGCCAGGAAATGATTCCTTCACATATTTTTTAAGGGTCTTTAGTGGAGGTGCTATCTCTGAGGACAAATGGAGCTGATATCCTTTCTTCATTCCTGAAAATAAGTTTCAAATCATTTTCATGCTTTTTAAGTCACCAATCCAATGCCTTGCCTTCTGCATATGGTTTTCCTTCCTGCTTTTCTAGGCTGATTAAGCCCATCTCATTGCAAGTTCCTTCAAACTGTCTTTCCTACCTCAAATTTATTCCACTTTTCACTCTCTCTCTTTTTCTCCCCTTCTTTCATGGAGGGGGTATATGCCTCATCCCATGTCCAAGGAAAACCCCTTTATGTACCCTGTGTCTCCTCCCTCACCTCTTTCAGGACCTGTATTGTCTTTCCTCTGCTGGCCACCCAATACCCTTTGGAAACTTTCTCCTTCCTGTAAACATGCTCAGATTTTTCTATTATCAAAAGCTGATTACTTACATACCCAGATTTCTCTCTCAGGTTAGCATTTCCCCCGATTTTTATTGCCATATACCTTAAAACAGAAATCTTTTGCACTTAGTAGCCACTTTTGCAGTCTGGTTTCTGCTTCTATAATTGTGATCAAATTGTGCAGTTAGACATCCCCAGCAGCTTGATGCCTAATGCGTCAACTTTTCTCTCTCTTTCTCCTCCTTTTCAGAGCTCTGCCTCTTCTTCTACCAGTTCACTGCTGTATTTGACAGTTGGCTATTTGAAGCTGTGGTAGTCAAGACTTTTAGTCATAGATAACATACTTTCAACACAAATACAATTTGGCACAAAGGGATTTCATTGAGGTATATGGGATATTTCCTGGAATCCAAGGGGATAAGATTTCAGCTCTGCTCACGGGTGATCTAGAGTCACAGTACTAATGCTCCCAGCTCAGTTTGTCATCTCAGTGTATCTGCTCTATGCAGACCAACTTTCTCACTGCAGACCAGCTTTCTGTTTTCTGTTGTCCCCCTAGCAGAAACAACACTTGCGTTTTCCTTGTTTCAGGCCCAGCCATGTGGAAATCAGACTTTTTCCCAAAATTCTGGTGGAAAAATGCCCACACCTGGCCAGAGGAGGGTGGGGTTGGTCATAGCATAATACAAAGTTGGAAGTTCTACCTACAACTTTGTGTTTGGAGAAGTTTGGATGGGGTGGGTAGTGCTGTTCCTTGGCAGATAACCACCATGGCATCACCTAAGAAATAGTCTCCTTTTTTGGCTTCAGTGTCTTTACTCAGACCACCTTCCGGAGCTCTTCTCTTTCTCTGGATCTCGTCTCCTTACTCTAAACCTAGCTGGCTTGTGCGATTCTGTCCTTGAGCCTCTTCTAATTTCCAAATGTGCTCATCTCCGATCTGACTCTGAAAGCCTGTCTCCAGCTCTGGTTGCTTTATGCTGTGACTAACCTCCCTCCTTTTCTTTGCTCATGCTGTCTCCTCTGCTTGGAATGCCACTTCCACCTCCCCGGTATCACCTATTGAAATCCTGTTTCTCAGGGCCTGCCTCCTCCGTGAAACTTTTCCTGAGCCCCCCAGTCATACCTGGTGGTTCCTCTACCTTCCTCTGCACTTGTCCTTCTCCTATAATGTTTGCCAATGGATGCTTTTGCTTTAGGGTAAAGTCACTTACATACTGTGACTTACGTTCATTTTTTTTTCTTTCCCTTTTTTTTTTTTTTTTTTTTTTTTTACTTTCAGGTGATAAGCTTATTTAGTTAGGAGCCCTCTTCTATTTATCTTTGTATTTTCATACTTTTAACTGATTTAGCATGTTTATCATAGGTACTCAGTATACATTGAGTTGGATGTGTTGTTAACAGGCTCTAAAATTATTTTAATTTAAATTAGTACCAGAGGCTAAACTTGCCCCTGTCCTGTGGTCTTAAAGTGAAGGGATTCTGCCTAAAGGAAACCAGACAATCATAAGAGCCTTACTGATGAAATGTGAAAAGTGCAGAAAACCCAAAGATGAAAATAAAAAACATCTCACTGTCTAGGCATTGTCAGCATCTAGGTGTATCTTACAGGGATGTAGTTTTGAACCATAATTGGTATTCTGTTGTATATACTCTCATATTTAGAGAGGTAGGCATTTTTAATACAGATTGAGAATAAGGCCTGTTGTCTATCCCAGAATTTTAAGTTTTTAGGGCTTCTGGTTTTCACTATTTTTCATTTGGCAAATATGAGATGGGTGTGGAATTAGGCAGTTCAAAGTCTTCTGGGCAGATTTGCCTTTTGAATTTAAACCACCTGGCTTCACTTCTAAAAATCTACTTTTGTACCTCTTATAGCTCTTCTGCCCCACCCCTGTCTTAGTCTGGCAGAGCATTGTGTTCAAGCTAATGCCTGTTTGTAAGTCACGGGCTTAAGGCCTGAGCCAGAAGGGACAGTGGAGACAAACTCACCCACTGCCTTGGTTCATAGATGAGGAAGTGGAGGCCCACAGGAGGAAAGGCCTTTGTTCTAGCTATTAAGTTAGAGAACTATGGTAAAATTTTGATCAGCTGTAATCCTCCATTCTAGAACATTCTAATTCTCTCTTTTGGTAAAGGAAAGGTAAGTAGCAACTGGATATGCAGGGTTTTTAAGACCAAAAAAATTCAGGAATTCCTTAGAGATGTCCAGATTCCATTCTGATCCCTGTGTCCTGTATCATTATTGTCTTATGTAAGACCTGCCCTTGAAGACATAATCCCACATTCTCGGGGAGGAAGTCCTCTAGGAAGGATGAATAAAGTAACGTGCCATCACCTTGTCTTTCCTAGGATCTCTGGGGAACAGCACAGTGTAGTTGAAGCATTGGCTTATGACTGAGATAATGAGGCCACTCAGGTTTGGTTTCAAGCTCTGGCTTTGGCCAAATGTGAGGGTTAGCTACCCTATTACCCATCTTTTAAAGCAAAGTATTTGCTCAAGGTCACAGGGCAAAATAGCAGAGTTCACACATAGACTTATCACTTACTCCAAGCCCTTAAGCACTCTAATGCCTCTCATGCCTCTCCACTGCCCTCCACCTGAAGTGGGCCTCACACTTTCAAGTTCCCTACTAGCTCTGAAAGTCTAAGTGGGTGATCACTGAGCCTTTCCCCTGGTTCCAGCTCTTTAGCTGCTCTGGTTAACTGGCTCTCATGGGATTGGGGGTGTGTGATTGCAGTCACCGGAAGAAAAGAATGCGACAGCTGCAGAAGAAAATAAAGAATGGAACACTGAACATAAAGCAGGACGACCCCTTTGAACTCTTCATAGCAGCCACAAACATTCGCTACTGCTACTACAACGAGACCCACAAGATCCTGGGCAATACCTTCGGCATGTGTGTGCTGCAGGTGGGTGGCTTCCTCTAACCTGTGATTGAAGTCAGAGTCTTGAGGGTTGCTTGGGCTGCCTGGCTTTCCACTGGGAACAGATGTACAGTAAGGAGAGGAGAGTCCCATGTTCCCTATGCCCAAGCATTATTAGTGGAAGTCCTGGCCACTTTCCAAAGTACACTCGGTCACCTACCCCATATAAAAAGAGAATTTTAAATCAGCACTTGTCTAGAGACACCAGAACTGAAGTGATGAGTTATTATAACGGGTTCTAACTAGCTAAAGCTGATAAAGCAAATGCCAGAGACTTTGAGTGCCTCTAGGACCCTAGGTCCTTATTGGCATTCACCAAAGACTTTTTTTGTCCAGTGAGCAATGGGACTTGTTTTCCAACCGGATATAGACCAATGCACTTAAATGTCCTGTCCAGAGTGCCTGAGTGGCATACCCACCATGAAGGCCCCTCTCCCCTTTTCTAGCCCTTAAAAACCCCTCACTTTACCTCTCAGAGACTACTTGGTGAATTTCTGCACTGGTGTGTATTCTCTTGCCTGGCAAGTTAATAGACTAAGTTTCACTTTGTGTGTGTGTGTGTGCATGTGTGTGTAAGCACTGGTGGTCTTTGTTTTATTCTTTGTTTCTTTGATTCCTGTGCCACCTCCCTTCCCCATTCTCCCAAAAAAGACAAGACAAAATTAAGCACAAATCCTCACATTTTTGTGTGTTTATCATATACACTTACAACTGTGCCCATTATTATGTCAAGTTACATACCTTGCAAAATATGGGTTGTCTCCTATACTGCTGGCTTGCATCTCACCTTGGAGGCCAAGAAAGAGGGCATTATGCCTCATTTTCACCTTTACTCAGGGAAATGCCCTGGGTTATCACTGATTGGTAGGGAGTGGTCTTCTACTTGCTGCCATGATCAATTGCCTGAATAATGACTCCTGTGAGCAGTAGCTCCCCCATGTAGTATAGTTTTGTCAAACAGGTTTGAGCTATAAATGTCAGAAAATGTAAGATGTTTCTGAAATTCAAGTATGAATCAGTGAAGGTTGGAAAATTTGTTTCCAAATAGGATTTTATCAGAGACATTTTTGACATATAAAACTAACAACGTCTCTAATAAGAGACCCGTTTTTGGCATATAAAACCAGGTATTCGTATATTCGAGGGTTTGGCCCTCTTCTGTGGTACCCCTGTGTGTGTATCCTGGGAAGTCAAGGTGGGAACAGGTATGGTCTTGGCTTTGTGCTCTGAAGTCTTCTTTTTGCCTTATCACCTGGCTTTTGGTTAAGAGTCCCTTGGGTTGGGCCAGGCGCGGTGGCTCATGCCTGTAATCCCAGCACTTTGGGAGGCTCAGGTGGGTGGTGAGCCAAGATTGCGCCACTGCACTCCAGCCTGGGCGACAGAGCAAGACTCCATCTCAAAAAAAAAAAAAAAAAAAAAAAAGTCCTTTGGGTTGCTATTTGCATGACCAGCCCTTTCTAACGCCCCCTTCTTCCAGGATTTTGAAGCCTTAACTCCAAACTTGCTGGCCAGGACTGTAGAAACAGTGGAAGGTGGTGGGCTAGTGGTCATCCTCCTACGGACCATGAACTCACTCAAGCAATTGTACACAGTGACTATGGTAAGCATCTGTTTTTTAACTTAATTGTGAGGGTTCAAGTAAATCTGTTTTTGCTGTGTTCTGCTTTCTTTAAAGAATTCCTGTTGGGCAGCTCCAGTGAGTAGTCAGCACAGCCTCTGGGCTAAGAGCTCTTTGATTTTAACTAATGAAAAAGTCACTACAGTTAAATCTCAGGGTCCATGAGTATGCCTAGGAATCTCTGAATTTCACCTTTGTTTTCAGGCACTTGCAAATTCTACACCAGTGAGATTCAGATATGATACAGCTTTTATGTAGTTAAATTTTCTGGAATGATATTGTACAAGGAGCAATGCCAGTGCCTAAATTTGTGTATTGCAAAAAAAGGACCATGTGCAGACTGCTCACTGGCCCTTATCCTAATGGATGACGAAGGAACATTTGCCAGTTGTACTCCAGTTTGGCAAGAATTTCAACTCCAGCAGAGATTGTGTTCTCCCAAAGCAAAAGACACTGACTGAGGACATGGTGAGGAATTAGGGATATGTCTCACCTGATGCAGAGCTGGTCTCCTCACTTTATCAGCGTTGCCAAGTCAGTGTTCAGAGGCAAGTTTTAAGTCATGCCCATGTCCAGCAGCTCAGTAATGGTGGTCGGATTGGACTTAGGGTTTCCTGAGCTGCATTTATCTGATGAAATGGACTTTCCTCAAATCTTAGGGGCTGTTTCCTGTCATTACTTCTCCCTTCATCACTTGCACTACAGCCCTTTTGGCCTCCTCAAATGTCCTCAGACATGCCCAGCACACACTCCTGCGAGGGCCTCGGCACTTGCTGTTCCCACTGGAATGTGCTTCCTCTGGACCTCTGCCTGGCTCGCTTCCTCATTGCATTCAAGCCCCTGCTCAGATATCACCTCATCCATGTGGTCTTTCCTCACACCCTGTTTACAGTAGGCAGCTCCGCCTGTCACTCCTTAACCGGCTTTATTTTTCTTCAAAGCACTTGACAATGACCTAAAGTTATTATTATTATTTGTCTGTCCTCCTGTACTAGTCTCTAAATTTCACTGGAGGGCCGATCACAGTGGCTCACGCCTGTAATCCTAGCACTTTGGGAGCCTGAGGTGGGCGGATCACCTGAGGTCAGGAGTTTGAGACCAGCCTGGCCAACATGGTGAAACCTCGTCTCTACCAAAAATACAAAAAAAATTAACCAGGTGTGGTGGTGCACACCTGTAATTCCAGCTACTAGGGAGGCTGAGGCAGGAGAATTGCTTGAACTCAGGAGGCGGAGGTTGCGGTGAGCTGAGGTCACGCCACTGCACTCCAGCCTGGGCAACAGAGCAAGACTCCGTCTCAAAATAAATAAATAAGTAAATAAATTTGATGGGAACAGAGAGTTAGTTTTCTTTGCTGTTGCATTTCCAGATCTTAGAAGAGTTCCTGGCATTTAGTAAGCATTCCTTAGATAGTTGAGAGTGAATGAATGACTTTGTGCTCACATCAGTTTGTTCTTCCTCTCCCTCTGACATAGCTACCTACTTACCCTTCAGGCCTCAGCTTATCTCAGAGAGGCCCTCCCTCACTACCCTACATAAGTGACCCCCACTTGCTATCCGTGCAGTCTATATTTCATATGTAGCATTTGTCAAAATTTGTATTTATCTACTAATTTTTCTTCCTCCATCCATTATACTCCAAGTGCCATGAGAACAGAGGTCATGCTTTGTTCATTAGTGTATGCACAGCATATCTGGCACACAGCATGCCAATTTTATGAAATAAATGAATATAACTTAGGATGCTAGGAAAAATGTGGAAAAGTGAAAGATTTTAATAAGCAACGTTGCATTCAGTGTCTGATCCCAGTTTCAGCAAATACCATTTGGCACAGCAGTGTGTGTGGGAGTGATTTTGTTTCCAGCAAGATTGCCCATGTCTCCTTGGATAGAGCTTTGTATTTGGACCCTGGTCCTCAGCACTGTTTGCATGCCTTTGTTAATGGATGTTGTCTTTCTTTGTTAGGATGTGCATTCCAGGTACAGAACTGAGGCCCATCAGGATGTGGTGGGAAGATTTAATGAAAGGTAATTCTATAGTTCCCCCCAATTGTGGGGCAGCCACATTGGGAGGGACATTTTTATCTTGGACTCAACTGAAAACTTTGCTTTTATATTGGGGAAAGTAGTACAATATTCCAAAAATGATGAGATTCTTGACAGCAGCAGCAGTTGTGAGACTAACTGGAAGCAGTGAAACGTGGTGGAAAGTTGGAGCCAGGAAACCTCAATTTTGTCTTGCTGCTGGCCTTGACAGCTCAGTTAAACCAGGTTACTCTCTCTGGTTCTTAGCTTACTCATCTTTTAAATGAGTGATTTTTCTGGATCACTGCTTCCCAGAAGATATTTCATAGAGCAGTAGTCTTTCCAAACTTTTTATTATGAATATGACGTACTGGCATAGTAAAAATGATTAAGAGAAATATGGGAGGTGGGGTGAGATGTAATTAGAGGCAGAAAAAGGCGACAAAGTGTTTCTTCTGAGCAAAGGAACACCCATAATTTCAAATATGGTGTACGGTTTGTTATCTGAAATTAAATTTGTATGTATTTATTTTTATTTTATTTATTTATTTTTTTGAGATGGAGTCTTGCTGTGTTGCCCAGGCTGGAGTGTAGTGGTGCGATTTTGGCTCACTGCAACCTTTGCCTCCCAGGTCGAGTGATTCTCCTGTATCAGCCTCCCGAGTAGCTGGGATTACAGGTGCCCGCCACCACACTCGGCTAATTTTTTGTATTATTATTATTATTTTTTTGAGACAGAGTCTCGCTCTGTTGCCCAGGCTGGAGTACAGAGACACGATCTTGGCTCACTGCAACCTCTGCCTCCCGCATTCAAGCAATTCTTGTGCCTCAGCTTCCCAAGTAGCCGGGATTACAGGAGCCCACCACCATGCCTGGCTAATTTTTGTATTTTTAGTAGAGACAAGGTTTCACCATGTTGGCCAGGCTGGTCCTGAACTCCTGACCTCAAGTGATCTGCCCCACTCAGTCTCCCAAAGTGCTAGGATTGCATGTATGAGCCACCGTGCCTGGCCATTTTTTGTATTTTTAGTAGAGGTGGGGTTTTCACTGTGTTGGCCAGGCTGGTGTCGAACTCCTGACCTCAAGTGATCTGCTCACTTTGGCCTCCCAAAGTGCTGGGATTACAGGCGTGAGCCACCGTGCCCGATCATAGAACACTAGTCTTTTAAGAGGGAACATATGAGGAGGGTTTGGCCATATATGTCTGGGAAACACCTATACCGTTTTTTCCTTTATGAAGATTTGCCCCAGCCTGTTGTAATCTCTGAAAAGTCTTGCAGCAGCAGGGACCTGTTTAACTGATTGTTTCCCAAATTTATTTTACCAAAAAAATTTATTTTTTTGAGGGGTGTGGGAACACCAGTTAGCACCCTGTGAAACACCTTAGGAAATTTTGACCTAAATCAGTGGTTCTCATCTGGAGCCATTTGGCCCCCTGGGGACATTTGGCAATGTCTGGAAATGTTTTGATCGTAATGACTTTGGGAGGGTGGTGGTGGGTGCCGTGGGCATCCGGTGGGTAGAGGCCAGGGATGCTGCTGAACAACTGGTGGTGCACAGGACAGCTCCACACCAAAGAATTATCTGGTCCAAAATGTCAGTAGTGCTGAGGTGTAGAAATCCGAGCCTTGATGAACCCTGGGGGCCTTTCTCATTTTAACCATCTGTGATGCACTAAGTCAGTAGAATGAGCAGATCAGGAGGAGCAGCTGTGTGCTACTGAATACAACAGAAGCCTATGAAATCCTTTTCTTGCAGTGGGAGGATGTTTGAATTTTATAGTCAAACGCATTTTTTTCCCTGCTTGCAAGAACGTTTGTATTGTATTTCTTTGGGGAGCTTTCCTTTCACCTTCTTCCTTTTTTTTCTTTTTCCTAGTGACAAAAGATGAATTCATTTGTATTTTTTCCCTGTGTGACTGGTGATCATATGGGGGTTGGGTTTGGAATTCCCCATTTAAGGATGGCCTGAAACACCTCAGTGCTAAAGAGCAAGCCTGGGAGGATGAGGAGAGGGCCACGTGGTGTAGGGAATAGTGGCAGTCATGCACAACAGGAGGGCTTCTAATTGATCTCCTGGGATGAGTCCTTGGTTTTCTGATTTGCTGTATAAAGTATGTTCAGGTGCCTTGTGGAGGAGGTGCTGAATCATCTCACACTGCTCTCCAACTAGGTTTTAGCTTTTTCTGGCTTTCTTAGAGACACTTGGGGCCAGTTAATTTTTTTGAAGAAAAGTTATACTCTGTATAGACATTGCATGCCCTCCCCAACACTTCATTGCAGCGGTTTTGTATCTCAGGTTTATTCTGTCTCTGGCCTCTTGTAAGAAGTGTCTCGTCATTGATGACCAGCTCAACATCCTGCCCATCTCCTCCCACGTTGCCACCATGGAGGCCCTGCCTCCCCAGACTCCGGTGAGTCTGTGCTGGGGTCCAGGAATCTGGGGGAGGCTACGTTTTCTGTGTTGTTCCTCCTGTGACAGTGACAGACCTTCCCCTTCTCCTCTCTCTGGTAGGATGAGAGTCTTGGTCCTTCTGATCTGGAGCTGAGGGAGTTGAAGGAGAGCTTGCAGGACACCCAGCCTGTGGGTGTGTTGGTGGACTGCTGTAAGACTCTAGACCAGGTGAGTGTGGTGCTCAGCACTTCCAACACAAAGGTAGTAAAACATAGCATACGGAGCGTAACAGAAGCCAAGGTACGTTGACTCAAGACCCAGACCCTCCCTGGAGAAGGGGACTTTTCCCCTTGCTCATACTCGTGTGTGCTCAGCAACAGTAGGGCTATTTCATGTTGTGTGGGTTCCCAAAAGAAGTCTGGGGATTACCTCCCCCTAGTCAGGCTACAGATAGAGCAGATGAATTATTATTATTATTATTTTTTAAAAGACGGAGTCTCACTCTGTCACCCAAGCTGGAGTGCAGTGGCATGATCACGGCTCACTGTAACTTCGAACCCCTGGCCTCAAGCAGTTCTCCTGCCTCAACCTCCTAAGGTGCTGAGATTACAGGCATGATCCACTACATCTGGACAGATTACATTGAAAGAGGAATCCTCTCACCACTTTTTCCAAGAGAGGGCAACATACCTGTGTTCTGAAATTTCAGTTAAGTTTTGATGATATAAAGGCTTTTGCCTATAGCTTATTCAGAAGTGAGAGGAGAACTTGAGGCCCCTAGTCTGGTATTTACCCTGGTTCCAGTGCGAGGCCTGATGAGGGCCCTCTGGGGTAATACGTACCTGGTCTTTGAGTGCAAATAGCAGGCTGGGTGAGAGCTTACAGGTTGCATTTCTGTGCTCATTGAGGTGGTCTGCACTGGTAAACTTGGCTTCTCTGGTGGTTCCTGGGCCATGATGGGAACTGACTGGGCACAGCCCAGAGGTCTTTGAACTGTCAGGTGTGTTCAGGGTTCTAGGTCACCCTGAGCCAAATGAGCAGCATGGGTCGCTGCCCTTGAGAGGGAAGATAGCTGCAGTGACACCTCCCGCTTAGGGCTGAGTCCCAGCAGGCTGGCTTCCCTTTTCATTCTGGAAATATGATCAGCAGCTACATAGCTCTCTATGCAGCTCCAGCTGCAGGCCCTAGGCTTTTTTGATTCACTTCCTGGTACCCTCTTTATCACAAAAGAGAAGGAGTGAGTGATAGGATAAAGCAGGAGAAACTGATTCTAGTTAAGTAGTGTTATAAGAAAACAAATGGCCTATGACCAAAAAAAACCAAAAAGTTAATAGAAAAAGAGTACATAAAAAAATAAGAAGTGGTGTTTCCACTTGGCAGTTTCACTCTGCAGAAACAACTGCTATTAACAGTTTATTATGTATCCTGCTGCCTCTTTTTTCATGCACATAAATGAATTAAATGCGAAGGGGTCATACTACAGAGTGTAAGTGGTCCCCTGTTAGACATTTCGATTGATTCCAGCATTTCCACTGTTAGAAACAGTGCTCTTAGGGGATTCTTACAGATAAGTCTGTGGGCACTATATTTAGGATACGTTTCCAGAAGAGAAGTTGCTGGATGAGAGGTTGTGTGTATTCAAATGGGTGTTGTACCAGTTGATGGAACTATCCAGTGTGTGGAAATGCCTTTTTCTCTACACCCTCGCAGCCGTGATTCCTAGTAAACTTGTAAGTCTTTACTAATCTGATATGAGAACATAGGACCGTTTTAATTTGTGTTGCTGCTTTAATTAGGAGAGAGGAGGGTACCTTCTTCATATAATTATTGGTCATCTGTTGTTTTGTTGTTGTTGTTGTTGCTGTTGGTTTTTTTTTTTTTTTTTTTTGGTGAGCCGGTCTGCTTATTTCCTCTGCCCACTTTTTACTTGGATTTTGGCCTTTTTTGTATTGGTTCTTCATTTTAGGATGCATTTTAGTCTAGATTTGGTACCATTCTGTTATGTCATTGGATTTTTCAGAGTTTATAACTTCTATAATATAAAACAAAATGATAAAATACAGCCTTCAGGCAAGGCCAAGTTAAATACGACCTGGATTCCCTTTGAGTATTTTCATCTGGAGAAACTCTGGCTTCCTGAAGCCTCTCCCCTTCCATCTACCTTGGCCTGTGTCTCTTCAGTGTCTTCTTAGCATCATTGCCTAGGCAAGCATGACAACTTCTCAGGACCATCTGGCCTTCTTCCCACCCTCAAACACCTATTCCCAGCACAGATCCAGCTGAGGAGCAAAGTTTGGCCCCTAAGTAGTTAGTGGCTCCTGTCCTTCAGTGTCACTGGCATCTTGCTTTTACTTCTAGGCGCTCCTGTAGGCACTGGGGGCCCAGCAGTAGACAAGAGGGATGCACCTGCTTCATGGAGCTTGCCTCCTAGTGAGATGAGACAGTCAGTAAATAAAAGACATGAGCAGACCATATGGTGAAGCAGAAGATGCTACGTACAATGGGAAGAAAGAAAAAGTTGCAAAGAGGGATAGGGCATGCCAGATGAGGGTGGGGCGCTGTGGTTCTACATACAGGGGCAGGGGTGGCCTCATGTAGGAGGTGATTTTGGAGCCAAGCCATGAAGGAGGCGAGGTGAGGAAACAAGCCCTGTGGCTCTTGGGGAGCCACTGCTTCAGGCAGAGGAAGCAGCATGTGCATGGGCCTGGGGGAGGGGTGTCCCTCCGGTGTCCTAGGCCTGGCAGGGAGGCTGAGGGGCTGAAGCAGGGTGAGTAGGGGTGGAGGAGGAGATTTTTGGAGGATCTTTCAGGCCACTGGCAGGGCTTTCACACTTACTCTATAACAGATGGGAGCAGTGGAGGCTTTTATGCCCATAGTCTCCTTTCAGCACAGCTGCCAGAGGCATCCCCAGGCTTCTTTTTAAGAGGATCGTCTGGCTGCTGTGTTGAATATAGACTGGTGGAGTGAGGGTGGCAGCAGGAAGACTGATCAGGAGGCTGCTGTCATGATGGAAGAAGGATAGGGTGGTGGCTTTGAGCAGAGCAGTAGAGGAGGATAGTGGTGTAAGTAAGAAATGGTAGGATTTTATATATGTTTTGGAGGTAACAGGATTCGCTGACGAATCAAGTTATCAGGGAAGAATTGAGGAGGCTTTGGCCCAAGCAGTTGAACAGTTAGATGGGGAAGACTAGGTGGAGGAGGTTTGGGGCAACTTTAGGCGTTCAGTTTAAAGTTTGAGATCTGTAGTGTACAAATGGGAATGTACAGGAAGCAGTTGCATGTGTATAAAAGTCTGGTGTGGGCCAGCCAGGTGTGGTGGCTCACGCCTGTAATCCCAGCACTTTGGAAGGCTGAGGTGAGCGGATCACGAGGTCAAGAGATTGAGATCATCCTGGCCAACATGGTGAAACCCCGTCTCTACTAAAAATACAAAAATTAGCTGGGCATGGTGGTGTGCGCCTGTAATCCTAGCTACTTGGGAGGCTGAGGCAGGAGAATCACTTGAACCCAGGAGGTGGAGGTTGAAGTGAGCTGAGATCATGCCACTGCACTCCAGCCTGGTGACAGAGCGAGACTCTGTCTCAAAAAAAAAAAAAAAAAAAAAAAAGGTCTGGTGTGGACCAGGTGCCATGGCTCACCCCTGTAATCCCAGCACTTTGGGAGGCTGAGGCAGGCGGATCGCCTGAGGTTAGGAGTTCGAGACCAGCCTGCCCAACATGGTGAAACCCTGTCTCTACTAAAAATATAAAAACTAGCTGGGCGTGGTGGCAAGCGCCTGTAATCTCAGTTACTCAGGAGGCTGAGGCAGGAAAATCGCTTGAACCTGGGAGGTGGAGGTTGCAGTGAGCCGAGATCGCACCATTGCACTCCAGCCTGGGCAACAAGAGTGAAACTCCATCTCAGAAGGAAAAAAAAAGTCTGATGTGCAGGGAAGTGGTCCAGACTGAAGCTGTAAATTTGAGTTATCAGCATCTATTAAAAATTGGTACCAAAGGCCTTGAGACTGAAATGAGATGACCAAGGGAGTGAGAAGTCCAGGTGCTGAGCAGTGCTTTCTGGCCTGCAAGAACTGCCGCCCTCTTATTTAGCCTGGCATCAACCTCACTTCTCCACAGTGATGGTGATGAATGGTGGAAACTTGGGTCTTTCTTGGAGTTCACCTAATATGTTTCTGTTTCCACAGGCCAAAGCTGTCTTGAAATTTATCGAGGGCATCTCTGAAAAGACCCTGAGGAGTACTGTTGCACTCACAGCTGCTCGAGGACGGGGAAAATCTGCAGCCCTGGGATTGGCGATTGCTGGGGCGGTGGCATTTGGGTAAGGGGATTCAGTCCCCCATCTTTAGGAACTCTGGGCTCTGTGGGGGTAGTGTGCAGGGTTGGGGTCAGAGGACTGGTATCTCACGTTCCTAGTTCTGAGTTCTGAGTGGGTTCAGTGTGTGATTTCTCTAGGTCTTGATTTCCTGCCAGGAAACAGCAGCACTGTTTCCCCAACCCACCCTAAAGGTGCATGTTTACTTGTGTGTACACACAGACACATATATACCAGGGCCTTTGTAATCACTATTTACAGTTGAACAAACATGCAGAGGCAAAGAAATGGGAGTAAGAAACTTTACAACTCAGGGCATGAGAATGTGTATGACCAGCCTTGCTGACTGAGAAAAGTACAAGTTTGACATTTTAATGATTTTGATTAAAAGAAGCTTTCTTTGGCTTCTGAGGAGCTGGTTTTAGGTGTGATGTTAGTTTCTGTTTTTTTCTACTGGGTTTGGAAGATACATGCAGCTGCCAATAGAGTATGTTCTTCCAACTTCTCGGCCATAATAATGAACCTAGAACTTACTGTGTTTGCCTTTGTGCATTATCTTCCTTGGTGCTCTTTAGAGCTCTGTGGGCATTTTATAGATGAATCAACCTAGGTTTGGGGAGTTCCAGTGATTTACCCAAGATCCCCCAGCAAGTCAGTGCTGATAGAGCTGGGGCTTGAGCTTAGCTCCTGACTCCTTGTCCTTCGTTCTTCCTGCTGCTCTAGCTGTAACAGTCAGCCTCTTAGCCATTAGCATCTGCTGTTAGCATCCTTTATACTCAGCAAGGCAAAGCTAACTTGGAGGTTAGCTTTGGCCTTGGCCTGAGCACCGATTGAGCTCCCCAGCTTCACCATTTGAAAGCGTCAGCACAGCTAGTGATGAGCATGAAACTACTTCTTGTAGCAGTGCACTGGATTGGGAAGCAGTCTGTCTGTTCTGCACACCGAGGGCGTTGTCTCCACAGTGCTTCTAAGCAGCTTGCTTTCACAGATGTTGGTAGCTAAATGTCTGGAGTTGCTTTACTTTCCTTCCCAAAAGGTGTCCTGACTTTTTCCCTTGCTGTTACCTCTGGTTATCACCTTTGGGACAGGAGCAAACAAAAATATTTTCTTTTTTAAATTGTTTCTTTAAGATGTTCCTAATTTCTTAAAAATCCTTCTTTTATTTTGTTCTGTAGGTACTCCAATATCTTTGTTACCTCCCCAAGCCCTGATAACCTCCATACTCTGTTTGAATTTGTATTTAAAGGATTTGATGCTCTGCAATATCAGGTAGGAAATTTGGATTAAGAATTTTTATTTTGGACCTGGTGTGGTGGCTCACGCCTGTAATCCCAGCACTTTGGGAGGCCGACGCGGGCGGATCACCTGAGGTCGGGAGTTGGAGACCAGCCTGACCAACATAGAGAAACCCCGTCTCTACTAAAAGTACAAAATTAGCCGGGTGTGGTGGCGCATGCCTGTAATCCCAGCTACTTGGGAGGCTGAGGCAGGAGAATCGCTTGAACCCGGGAGGCGGAGGTTGCAGTGAGCTGAGATCACGCCACTGCACTCCAGCCTGGGCTCGAAACTCCATCTCAAAAAAAAAAAGGATTTTTATTTTGATACAGTGCTGGGTTTAAATCCAAGTGAAGTCTTTAGAATACTTGCTTACTTTCATAATATTTAGTTTCTGAAACTTGTTTCTAAAGTTTGTCATTGGTTTGACTCCCCACCAGGAACATCTGGATTATGAGATTATCCAGTCTCTAAATCCTGAATTTAACAAAGCAGTGATCAGAGTGAATGTATTTCGAGAACACAGGCAGACTATTCAGGTGAGGCTTGTTCTCAGACCCTGATGTGCAGGGCCAGTGTCTTGCTGTATTTAACTGGCTCTAAGATGTTTCCTGTTATAGACATGTATGTCTTGTGTAATTGCATGTCTTTTAGACAATGGTGGTGTTGTATGCTAAACCTGTTCCAGATTTTCAGACTCTTCTAAAGAAAAACATTCAGCAAACTAACAAATATATGTAGTTAGATTGAAAAGTTGTGTTTTTGTCCTTTGAATATGGAATAAGTGGGGTGGAAAGTACGCTGATTAACTAAAAGAGAATCTTTCTTCTGACATCAGCTCTAACTTTGCTTAGTTATTGCAGTTTTTGAAATGTTGCATCTGTAACTAGAACAATAACCTTACAGCTTAAATGAAAAAAAGAACTTTGCAAAATGTGCTCTGAATCTTTGTGGTTTAGCCAGTGGCCTATTTTCTTTTTTAAACAGTGTTTTCCCAAAAGTTCTAAAAATCTCTAGCACTCTGTAAGCCTGAATGGTCTGCACTTGTCCAAAGGCTGCAGTTTTGCTAAATCTCTAAGAGAGGCATGAGGTGATGGGCTTACAGACGGACTGAGACTAATGGGCTCTTACTGGAGGAGGTTCATTGATTATTTTTGGAATTGGGTTGGGAAGTGAGCCAGGTGAATTTGGCAGTTTATACCCTAGCACTTTATGCCTGTCAAAGCATATGTATATGCATGTCAAGAAGTTATACCTTTTTATCAGAGGCCAGATTATAAACAATGTTAAGTGTTTATGCCTTTCACCTTAATTTTTTCTTACTAGCCTCTTTCTAGAATCTCTTCATTCTGTACATTTCTGCTCACTTTTGCTCGATTCCCCCAGCTGGGAGGAGGAAAGGCTGCTGTTGGTGAGGGTCAGGCTGCAGGCAATGAGAACACGGAGACCTGTTAAAACTCAAGAAAAATACACAAACCAAAGAAGGAAAACATTTCCCTGAAATACCCTGCCTCGGGCCTTGCTCCTTCTTGAATTTGTAATCAAATACTCTCTCATATTACCAGAGTTCTTTTGTCTCCAGTGTGAGCACAGAGGAGGTGACCTTACTTTATGAGACTCCATTTGTGTACCTTTCAGGCCTCTCTTTGGGCTCAAGATTGAGAAAAAGAAGAATATTAGATAAAAGTTGGCTTCACCTCCCCTGGGGGGCTGCTTTCTGCTGCTTTTATGAGATGCTTGTTTAGTTTTTCCCTTGAAGAAGACAAGATCTGGGGCCCTGTTGAGGATGTACATTCTGCTGCTAGAAATGAGCAGGGTTGGCCGGGCATGGTGGCTCATGGCTCTAATCCCAGCGCTTTGGGAGGCTGAGGTGGGCGAATCACTTGAGGTCAGGAGTTGGAGACCATCCTGGCCAACATGGTGAAATCCCATCTCTACTAAAATTTAAAAAAGTTAGCCAGGCGTGGTGGCATGCGCCTGCAATCCCAGCTACTCGGGAGGCCGAGGCAGGAGAATTGGTTGAACCCGAGAATTGGTTGAACCCTGGAGGCAGAGGTTGCAATGAGCCGAGATCACACCACTGCACTCCAGCCTGGGCGACAGAGTGAGGCTTTGTCTCAAAAAATGAAAAAAAGAAATGGGTGGGGTTGCCGCCTCCCTGGCCCATCAGCTTGTAGCAAAGCAGAACATCTTATTTGTAATGAAATAGTTCAAATGTATAGGAGCGTGCAGAGACCAATATAACATTCAGGCACCCAACACTCAGGTTTAAGTATTGTTGACATTTTGATGTTTGCTGTGTTTGTTTCATATTTCAAATGTCATTTAGATTTTTGTTTTAAAGAACTAAAACATCACAAATACAGTTGAAGTCCCTCAACCCCTTTCCATCCTATTTCCTTCTGTCCCTCCCCATGGGTGACTTAGTTCTGATACTGGTGTGTGTCCTTTCAGTTCATGTGTTTCTATGTTTACTACGTAATTATCTGTCCATAAGTGGAAACATACTGTACTTGTCCTCCTTCAGCTTTCCTTTTTTAACATTTGTTTTCAAGATCTATGCAGATTAAAGCTTGTAGATCTGGTTGATTGATCTTTAGGTATTATATGAGTAAATTATATTTACATGTATGTTTCTCAAAGTGGAGTTGTTGGGTTTTAGGATTGTGTAGTTTTCCAGCTTGCTTAAAATTTGCCAAATTCTCCTTCAAAGTGTTTATACCAGTTTACCCCCATGCCAGCATTCATTTGAGTTTTAATTTCTCTAAGACCTCATCAACTCTGGATGTTTTAACAGCTATTTAAGTTTTGTGAAATGGTATCTCCCTGCTGTCTTTAGCATTTCACTGATTATTGTTGAGGTTGAATATCTTTGTTTATGTTAATTGGTTATTCAGGTTTCCTATAAGATACCTCTTCATTGCTTTTCAAACCACTTTAAAATTAGCAGGAAGCCCTGAAGAAACTGAAGAGGTTGTTTGTATGCATAAAGATATGTAAGTGTTTATGTATTAAGAAAATAACAAGTTCTAGAAATGTCCGTCAGTGCAGGGAGACTTGGCCCTTGTAATCATGCCATCAGAGCAGGGAGCACAGTGCCCGGCATGAGAAATCCGACATCCTCCTCTTTAGCCACCACTGGGGTCGAGCTATGCCTCGAGCTCATCGGCTTTCCTTATCTGAGGCTGGGGGAAAACGTGAGGAGACAAAGGAGAGAAAGGAAAGGGAGCCACCATCTATCTCTCAGCACTGTGAGTCAGGCACTGGGCAGGGCATCTTTATATACCTGCTTTATTTTTCCTTCAAGCAGCCATAAGATAGGTATTTCCTTCATTTTACAGGAGGAGGAGTCTGAGGCACTGTGGGATTAAGTGACTTGTCCAAGGTCATATGATCAGTGGCCGAACTCTCTGAACCCAGGTGTCTGACTCCAAGCCCATCCCATTTTTGCCCTGCCAGGAAAAAGTAGAAAGGAGGAATGAGAGGAGAGAAGGAAACAGGGAGAGAGAGGAAAGAGAACATCCTTTATGATGAGTCGCCAGTAATCACAGCTGTGACATGAGTTCACTATGCTAATAATCTAAATTTTCCTTCCCCATAGTATATACATCCTGCAGATGCTGTGAAGCTGGGCCAGGCTGAACTAGTTGTGATTGATGAAGCTGCCGCCATCCCCCTCCCCTTGGTGAAGAGCCTACTTGGCCCCTACCTTGTTTTCATGGCATCCACCATCAATGGGTAAGGTACTGTGGGCAGGAGTCCTTACTCCCGTGGCAGGCTCTTGCAGATTTAGGGGCATGTAGTGGATGTGGCCTGGGCCTGGACAGCCAAGTCTGATTCTCAGAGTCTCTGAGTGTTTGAGGCTGCTTCATTCTCTACTGGGCTTCTGCAAATGGAAACTGGTCTCTTAATGAACTGTTACACGTCTCTGGCCCGACATGAAATGGGCAGTGTAAGACTGAAGAATTTTAGTCTGATGTGCTGAGTGTCTGCTTCTGTCTGTAGGTGTGATAAAATGTTGAAAAATACATGGATGGTGATACCAATATCTTATATCTTAGAAAATACAGTATTAAAGTACTATAATTATCATAAGAAAGCAAGCTCATAATGACTTTTTTTAAAATTTGAAATATTTAATTTTTTAATTAGAAATATTTAGTGTTGGCTATTGAAAAATTAGAACAGGTAAGCAAAAGAAAAATCACCTGTAGCCAGGTGCAGTGGCTCACACCTGTAATCCCAGCACATTGGGAGGCCGAGGCAGGCGGATCACAAGGTCAGGAGTTCGAGACCAGCCTGACCAACATGGTAAAACCCCATCTTTACTAAAAATACAAAAATTAGCTGGGTCTGGTGGCGCGTGCCTGTAATCCCAGCTACTCTGGAGGCTGAGGCAGGAAAATTGCTTAAACCCAGGAGGTGGAGGCTGCAGTGAGCCGAGATTGCACCACTGCTCTCCAGTCTGGGCGACAGAGCGAGACTGTCTCAAAAACAAAACAAAAAAAAAAAAAAAAGAAAAATCACCTGTAATTCAACCATCTGGAGATAGATTTTGTTAGAATTTTGATGTACATTTTCTCTGCATTTATTTTACTTTTTTCATTTGAACAAGAAAAACATTTTTAATTTGCATTTTGAATATAACAATATTGTGAAATCTTTTGAGGTCAGTAAATATGTATCTCCAATATTGGGAAGATTTCTGTATAGAAATCACATCTTGAAGAGATTATTCTGTATGCAGATTTATTGTGACTGCTTTGCTTACACTGAAAATACTGAAATAAAATGGATTTTTACTTTTCAAACAGCTTTATTGAGATATAACTCACATACTGTACTATCTATCCATTTAAAATGTGTAATTTAATGGTTTTTAGTATGTTCACAGAGTTGTGCAACCGTGCTCACCACAACCAATTTTAGAACATTTTTATCACCCCATAAAGAAAGCCTGTGCATCCTCCTCCAGTTCCTCCACACCCCCCAACCCTAGGGAGTCACTAATCTACTTTCTGTACCCATAGATTTGCCTATTTTGGACATTTCATATAAATGGAATTATAAAATATGTGGTCTTCCATGACTGACTTGTAGCATGTATCAGTATTTCATTCCTTTTTATGGTTGAATAGTATTCTATTGTATAGATATACCACATTTTATTTTTCCATTTATCTGTTGGTGGACATTTGGGTTATTTCTCCCTCTTGGATATTATTAATAATCTTGCTTTGAACATTAGCGTGCAGATTTTTGCGTGGACATGTTTTTCAGTTCTCTTAGGGATACACCTAGGAGTGAAACTATTGGGCTAACTCTATGTTAGACCATGCGAGGAGCTGCCAGACTCTTCCAAAGCAATTGCACATTCTACGTTCCCACCAGCAGTATGAGGGTTCTGACTTTTCTGTATCCTCTCACACACTTATTATGTATCTTTGTGGTTATAACCATTCTAATAGGTGTGAAGTGACCTCTCGTTATAATTCTCATTTGCATTTCCTGGTGACTAATGATATTAGCATCTTTACATGTGCGTATTGGCCACTCACGTATGTTCTTTGGAGAAATGTGTATTCGTATCCTCTGTTCATCTCTCCAATTGGGTTGTCTTTTTTATTAATGATTTGTAAGGGTTCTTTATATATTCTTGATACCAGGTCCCTTTTCAGATATGATTTACAAAAATTTTCTCACATTCTATGGGTTTTTTCACTTTCTTCTTCTTCTTCTTTTTTTTTTTTTTTTTTTTTTTTTTGAGACAGACTCTGACTCTGTCGCCAAGGCTGGAGTGCAGTGGTGTAATCTTGGCTCACTGCAACCTTCACCTCCCAGGTTCAACCCATTTCTCCTGCCTCAGCCTCTTGAGTAGCTGGGATTACAGGTGTGTACCACCATGCCTGGCTAACTTTTGTATTTTTAGTGGAGACGGGGTTTCACCATGTTTGTCAGGCTGGTCTCAAACTCCTGACCTCAGGTGATCTACCCGCCTCGGCCTCCCAAAGTGCTGGGATTATAGGTATGAGCCACCATGCCCGGCCACTTTCTTTATAATAATGTCTTTTAACGACAAAAGTTTTGAAGTTTTGTTGCTTGTGCTTACTCTTTTTTCTTAAATAAATAAATAGGATACTTTTGGGAGAGCTTTGTTATGTGGTGTGGAGAGTGGGCATAAAACATCTAGCTTTTATCATTATTTGAGTAAGAGGAAGTATTTTACAGTCTTTGAATATAATAATGAGTACTATGAAATGATGTAATGAAAAGTGCTGTGTGTACCCTGTGGTGACATATGCCTGTGACTAAAGACAAGGAGAAGAAAACTCAACAATGAAAGCTGATTGAGTTATCAGATTATAGGTGATTTAATTTTTTTCTCAACATTTTTTAGCTATTTTATGTCACCTTATAAGTGGGCATAGCAATGAAAAGAATTACTGAGGTGGTGGATTTGTTTTATTTTCCAAACTGGAAATGTTCTCAGTTCATTTCCTTATGCACCGTACTTCTAAAAGCAGCTCCGTTAGTTGACCATTTAACTTTGTTCCAGCTTCACTAAAACTGCCTAAAGCCTTTATGCTAAAGGCTTTACTTACATCCTTTTTCCAGTCCTTATTTTTTAAGTTCACATCACAGTCCTGTGAGGTGTATAGAATAATCCCCTCTTGAAGATGAGGCGAAAAGAGATTCAGCTCCTTGCCCAAAGATACTAAGTAGATGAGCCAGGACGTGAGCCCAGGCCTGGGTGGCCCCAAGCTCAGCCACCGTGCCACCCTGCCTCCTTTGGACAGGTGCCTGCTATGCTGGAAGTTCAGAGATGAGCAAGGCTGTCCTGGGGGAAGCAGGGGTCTGGTGTTTCAGCAGGTGGAGGAAAGCAGCTCTCTGTCCCCTCCTAGACAGTGGATTTGGGACCTTGTGCCTGATTCCTTTTGCCTTTGTTTCTAGCTATGAGGGCACTGGCCGGTCACTGTCCCTCAAGCTAATTCAGCAGCTCCGTCAACAGAGCGCCCAGAGCCAGGTCAGCACCACTGCTGAGAATAAGACCACGACGACAGCCAGATTGGCATCAGGTACCCCAGAACCTGACCCGGGTCCCGCGGTTCACAGCAAGGCCCTTCAGTCTTACTGATCCTCGCTTCCCCTGTGACATCATGGGAAGCACCAAACCTTCCCACCATCAGGCTGAGAGGTTGAGTCCCCAAGAGGAGAAGTAGCTTTTTTCGGAGGAACAGCAGTCCAGTGACCAGATGGGAGCCAGACTAGGGCCTTCTGATGGTGGGGCCCTTGTGTGTCCTTGTCTCAGGGCATGGTTGCATTGAGATCCCTTTGGGGTTGGTATCGTGGCAAGTTGAATATCCACCAAAAACAATTTTAAACCACCCAGTTTAAATTCTTACCACACGTCTCTGGCCACCATGGGACAAATATAAAGTGAAACATTTTTCCTTGCTTTTTTAGACAATACATATTTAATCATTGTTTCTTCTTTTGTGTGTGTGATTGTGGGGAGCAGCGCGGACACTGTATGAGGTTTCCCTCCAGGAGTCAATCCGATACGCCCCTGGGGATGCAGTGGAGAAGTGGCTGAATGACTTGCTGTGCCTGGATTGCCTCAACATCACTCGGATAGTCTCAGGCTGCCCCTTGCCTGAAGCTTGTGAACTGTATCCTCCTCTGGGTTTCACTGGCCCTGTGAAAAGGAGAGGGGCGGTGAAAGAATTCAAAGGACTTGAGTCCTTTGTTTCATAGGATGCTGCTCTAGAGAAAGGGGAAAGTTGAACATTTTCAATTTCCTTTTTCTCTTCCTTTTTTTTTTTTCTTTCTTTTTTTTTTTTTTGAGATGGAGTCTCGCTCTGTCACCAGGCTAGAGTGCAGTGGCACAATCTCAGCTCACTGCAACCTCTGCCTCCCGGGTTCAAGTGATTCTCCTGCCTCAGCCTCTTGAGTAGCTGGGATTACAGGTGCCAGCCACCACGTCTGGCTAATTTTTGTATTTTTAGTAGAGACAGGGTTTCACCATGTTGGTCAGGCTGGTCTCAAACTCCTGACCTTGTGATCTGCCTGCCTCAGCCTCCCAAAGTGCTGGGATTACCGGTGTGAGCCAACGCGCCTGGCCCTCTTCTTCCTTCTTTTATGTGTTTCTGCTTAGGACACTGAGCTCCTGTTCCCAGCTACGGAAATTTGTTCTGCCTCCAGAGAGTAGTATGACCTGTCTTCGGCTATTTGTTTTGTTTTGGTTTCTTAACTCCAGACCCAGGTACTATGTTAATAGAGATACCCTCTTTTGCTACCACAAGGCCTCTGAAGTTTTCCTCCAACGGCTTATGGCCCTCTACGTGGCTTCTCACTACAAGGTAACTGCAGCTAGCCCTTGTGTGAATGGTAGCAGGGAGCTTCAGCATTTGGCAGTCCCCTTTTACTTGATTTGCATATTTTATTACCCAATGGCTTAGGTGACTGTTCCATTGGGACATTGATGAGTTCCACTGATCTTGCTGTGTGTAGGTATAGAGCATGTAGCTCCATGCAGTAACGGGACAGGGTGGAAAGCTGTGTCCATTTTTAAAGGAGTGCTTTCATTTCTTGCCTGCCTACTAAACTGATAGGATGAGGTGACATTGCAGTTGTGGCCCGGTGGTGCAGTTTGACCTGAGACCAGCTTTATAGCTCTGGGCTACTTTTATGGAACAGTGAATTTGAGGGTTTAGAATATCTGAGACTCTTAAAAACAAAAGGGTTGGTTAAAAAGGATACTTTTTGAATGTCTAGATAGTATTTTTATGAACAGCTTTTAATGGAAGGCTTGAAGAGTTGGTGTTAGAAGTGGTGACAGTTTTTCCTGAAATAGCAGCCTCTTATCTGTAAAAAGTTCACTTCCTAGCTGTGAAATAAGTAGTGCTAAATAAATTCTCTTCTTCTGTCCAGCCTCAGTGCTCGGGGTGAGAGGACAGTAGGCATTTGAGGCTAAGTTCCACTTAACCTGTTATGAAGAGTCTCAGGCTTGCCAAAATACTAGAAAGGTGCTTTGCTGGACTTCTGCTCCTCACTTGGCTTTGGAGAAGGCCATACTGCAGTCATCCTGTGGTTCTGAATCGAACCTTTTGCGTAAAGGGCAAGAGGAAGAGTGCTTCTCACTGACCCGTGTTTGGCTTCCACAGAACTCTCCCAATGATCTCCAGATGCTCTCCGATGCACCTGCTCACCATCTCTTCTGCCTTCTGCCTCCCGTGCCCCCCACCCAGAATGCCCTTCCAGAAGTGCTTGCTGTTATCCAGGTATAGGAGCAGAGGCGTCCTTGTGGCAGTGATTTGGGGAACCACTGAGGCATCAGGAATTAGTGGCTTAATAACTGCATTGTGGGAGTTTTGAAACTGTGGAGTCCTGGTCTGGAACCAAGGGGCTGGGTCTGCTGAGACAGGTGACTAGGGTGCACTGGAAGAGGTTAGCGCCACTAGACACCCAAAGCTCCACTGTTGACGGACGGGGAAAAGCCAGAACCGACCGCTCTCTTATTTTGACTCACAGCTTCTTCCACAAACAGACTTGTTTGTTTTCTCCCTTTATTACAAAAGCAATACATGGTGCATTTTGAATTAGAGGCTACAGATTGGGGAACAAATTTTTAATGCCTAGCATGGATGTATTTATGCATTTCTATATCACTTTTCCTTTTCATATACATAGTAATCTGCTTTTATTTTTAGGCAGTGTATAAAACACTCATAATCTACATAAGTTTTAAAGCTGTGTAGTATTTCATTATATACATGTACCATGATTTGTTCAACCATTCACCTGTTAGACATTTTAGTTATTTTGAACTTGTGCTGTTCTGTACAGAGCCTCATGAGCATCCTGTGTCTTGATGGCCTTCACACACGCACAGCATACATAGAGACTCTCTTCTAATGTGGCTTTTACTTTTTGGGTCAGGAGGCTGTCAGTCTTCTGCCCTGTAACATGGGGCCTGGTAATTAAGCTCCTGTTAAGAATGGATGTGTCAGGCCAGGCGCCATGGCTCACGCCTGTAATCCCAGCACTTTGGGAGGCCGAGGCGGGCGGATCACAAGGTCAGAAGATCAAGACCATCCTGGCTAACACGGTGAAACCCCTTCTCTACTAAAAAAAAAAAAAAAAATACAAAAAATAAGCCGGGTGTGGTGGTAGGCACCTGTAGTCCCAGCTACTCGGGAGGCTGAGGCAGGAAAATGGCATGAACCCAGGAGGCAGAGCTTGCAGTGAGCCGAGATAGCACCACTGCACTCCAGCCTGGGCGACAGAGTGAGACTCCATCTCAAAAGAGCGGGGGGAATGGATGTGTCAGTGTCAGGGTTAAACCTGAACATGGGGGTGGAAACAACTGGCCTAGTTCGAGAAACAAGCTATATTCTGTGAGTGGGCTCTGTATCAGAGTTGGCCTTTCTGCCTGCACTGTCCTGCTTCCCCCACAGGTGTGCCTTGAAGGGGAGATTTCTCGCCAGTCCATCTTGAACAGTCTGTCTCGAGGCAAGAAGGCTTCAGGGGACCTGATTCCATGGACAGTGTCAGAACAGGTGACGGGCTTTCCCTGGTGTGTCTGAGGGAAGCTGGTGGTGTCCAAAGATGTCTGTGTTGCTAAGTTACTGGTTTGTGTCTCCCACACAGTTCCAAGATCCAGACTTTGGTGGTCTGTCTGGTGGAAGGGTCGTTCGCATTGCTGTTCACCCAGATTATCAAGGGGTAATGTGTCCTCAGGCTCCCCTGAAGCCGTGTTGCTGGCGGTGCTTTAGGGTGGGGGTACTTGGTGGCTGGAATAAGAAGCTGGTCAAGCAGAAGCAAGTGAAGTGTAGGCACTTCCCTGCTCTGGAGAATTGAGCCAGGGTTCGGGGTGGGTGGGTGGACAGGATGATGGCATATGCTCACTCTTCCTTTGTGAGAACGAGGACTTGTGAACCAGACCTGCATAACAAAATTACCTTCTTAGAACACCTCACTGAGTAATTGGCTGTAGAAACTTCCTTTTCAGGCAATGGTACAGAAACTGCCTCTCATTTGGGCTTGCCCATCTGGAGACCAGAAAGCACAGCCATCCTTACCCTCAAGTGGCTGTTCTTGATGAGCTAGACCAGTGTTAAGAACTCGGGTCACACTACTTTCAGTCTTAAGTGTCTCTGCTTTGACCTCACTCAGGGTTTTCATTGGTTCTCTTGCCCCGTGCTGTTTGACAGGGAGGGAAGGTTCTCTAGAAGCAATGCAGGGGAGTCACTGTGGCTTAGACTGAGAGCAGCTCTCTTCCCTCGGCCTCTTCCCCTTCACGTTTGCTCCTAGATGGGCTATGGCAGCCGTGCTCTGCAGCTGCTGCAGATGTACTATGAAGGCAGGTTTCCTTGTCTGGAGGAAAAGGTCCTTGAGACACCACAGGAAATTCACACCGTAAGCAGCGAGGTAAGCATCTTTCGACAGACCTCCTGTGTCCTGGTTCTTGGGAGGATAATTCTCTGGGTTTTTAGGGGCATCAACAAAAACCAGTCCAGAGCTTTGGACCCCTCTCTCATTTTCTTCTGCTGCTTTCTCCTACCGAACACTTTAGATCCTCAGATCAGTATCATTGGGATCATCTGGCAGCTTGTTAAAAATGTAAATTCTTGAGCCCCACTCCAGACCTACTGAATCAGAAACTCTGGGGTAGACCCTGTAATCTGTAGTTTAACAAGATTCTCAGGTGATTCTGATGCTCATTCAAGTTTGAGAATCACTGCTCTATAATCTCTTTCATCCTACACCAGACTAAGGGAAGTTCTGTCATTCCTTGATAAGAATGACTAATACTAGTAACTGTGACAGCCTTTCATGTGCATTCATTGATTTTCATAGTATGTATATTTGAGAGCTAGACAAGGGGCTTTTATTTAAGTTGAGGCAGCTGGGCAACATGGCGAAACTCCATCTCTACAAAAAATACAAAAATTAGCCGAGCATGGTGGTGCACGCCTGTAGTCCCAGCTACTTGGGATGCTGAGGTGGGAAGATTGCTTGAACCCCAAGGTTGAGGCTGCAGTGAGCTGTGATCTCGCCACTGGACTCTGGCCTGGGTGACAGAGCCAGACCCTGTCTCAAGCAATGAAAAAAAAAGTTCAAGCTCAGAGGTTTGTCACTTCCTAAGGCTGTCAGGTGATAGAACCTGGACTTCATGCTGGATCACAGGAGCCTGCCTGTCCCTTTGTAAATCTGTTGGGCATTTTTTTTTTTTTTTGAGATGGAGTCTTGCTCTGTCTCCCAGGCTGGAGTGTAATGGCGTGATCTCAGCTCACTGCAACCTCTGCCTCCCAGGTTCAAGCAATTTTCCTGCCTCAGCCACCTGAGTAGCTGGGACTACAAGCACACACCACCGTGCCTAGCTAATTTTTGTATTTCCAGTAGCGATGGGGTTTTGCCATGTTGGCTAGGCTGGTCTCAAACTCCTGACCTCAGGTGATCCACCCGCCTCAGTCTCCCAAAGTGCTGGGATTACAGGCATGAGCCACCACTCCCGGCCTCTGTCAGTCGTTTCTAAACTCTTTGGCTGTCTTCCTGCATTCTAGAGGTCTGAAGCAGTGTGATTCTATGCATGTTGAGGTGTTTTGAGAATGATTGCTTGACTCCGGTGTTCTCATAGTTTGAAAACCACAGCAATAAACCAAGAAACCTCTCCCAGTTTTTGTTGTGCTAAGTCCAGAGTGCGCTGCGGCAGGGTGCTTGACGATGTCTCTCTCCCTCTGCTGAATGGACTGTGTTCTCTCCTTGGCATCTTCCCAGGCTGTCAGCTTGTTGGAAGAGGTCATCACTCCCCGGAAGGACCTGCCTCCTTTACTCCTCAAATTGAATGAGAGGCCTGCCGAACGCCTGGATTACCTGGGTGTTTCCTATGGCTTGACCCCCAGGCTCCTCAAGTAAGTGCCTGCCCTCCTTCCACGGCATCACTCCTTGGCATTGAGAAAGAAGAGTTCTGTGGGCTGTGTGTCTCTGTTGGTAGCTGGTATCGGTGCTAGCCTGCTATTTGTGGCGTGCTCTTCCTGGCTCTTGCCCTTGTGTGTCTATCAGCCACTCCCCAGAGGCCACACACAGTGACCTACTGTCTTTGTATCTTTGCAGGTTCTGGAAACGAGCTGGATTTGTTCCTGTTTATCTGAGACAGACCCCGGTGAGTGAGGCATCCAGCAGAGGAGAAGTTTAGGTTTACCGTTATGGTAGGTGACAGGCCTGTCCTTGCAAAGAGCCCTAGTGCCTCCCTGCTGCATCGCTCTGAGCAGGTGGCTGTGCCTCTGAAGAGGTTTATTCTGATGGACATGGAAACAGCCATCCTCAGTGACAGGCCACATCATCACACATTTCTTCTCCGACTACACGGTGCATGCGTTGAGCTTAGTCATAAAATGGCAGAGGTACACGTGGACTTGTTCATCAGATTCTGGGAAAGGAGAGTGGACAGGAGGATCAAGGGTAATTCCTAGAGTTTTGGCTTGAGAAACTGGGTGTTGGAGGTGCTGTCGGAGATGGGACTCACTGCAGGAGGAGCAGATTTGGAGGGAAGAGTGGGAGTTCTTTTTTGATGTTAATATGAGATGCCTATTGGACATCCAAGTGGAAATGTGGACTAGGCATTCATTTGACTACAGGAATTTGGAGGTAGGGAAGTTTGGGGCTAGAGATGGAGCTTTGGGAGCCATCAGCATATTCATAATAGAATGCACTGCAGGAGGGCACGGAGCTCTTGTCTGTTGTGTTCATTGCTGTATTCCTCGCACTTAGAGTAGCAATTGCTGTGTAGTTTGTGTTCAGTAAATACTTTTGTTGAGTGAATGAAAAATATCTGGAGCCAATGAAAGGATGTGAGAGTGACTCCTTGGACCCTAACGTTTAGAGGAATGAAGAGGAGGACACAGCACATACAAGACTGAGAAGGAACAGCCCTGATGCGCAAGAGAAAGTCGGGTGTGGTGTCACACGTCAAGGTGAAAAAGTGGGAATGGGAGTCAGCCCTGTTGAGAGGATGAGGAGGATGAGGACAGCTGGCCATTGGATTTGTCAGCAGCGGTGAGCTGCATTGAAGCAGCTGCAGTGGAGTGGAGGCTTTGGCCTGGCCAGAGGGAAGAGGAGGTGAAGAACTAGAAGGGGAACAGGCGACTCTTTCAGGAAGCGAAAGGGAGCAGAGAAACAAGGTCGCTGGAGGGAGATGGGCGCTAAAGAAGGATTGTCCGATGGGAGATTCTAGAGAATGTTTTTTGCTGCTGGGTTCGATCCTGCAATTAGTGGTATGGGTGAGGGGGGCTGACTGCCAGAGTGCAGGCCTTGAGGAGGTGGTGGGTGGGACTCGAGATTCAGGAAGAGAGGTGACCACCTACTTCATCCTTCGGAACAGGGAAGGCAGAGAGCGTGGGAATGGAAGGCATCAGTTGGCTGGCTGATCTGGGGTTGGGAGGATGAAGACATTGTCTTCTGAGTGCTTCTGTCTTCCCAGATGAGGGGAGTCCATCGGCTGAGAGGGAAGTGTTGGAGGTTTGATTTTGGAGAGGGCAAAGTCAGTATCAGAGGCTAGTGTCCAGTGTCCGTCCGAGGGTTTAAAGTGGGACTGGTGAGGACTGCTGGGTGTTGGGCTGCTTCCGTGCAGGCAGGGAGCTGCAGAGATGGGTTGAGTCTCTGTCAGTACATTTGGTGGAGGCTGAGGATGTAAGTTTGGCTGTCAGCTGCAAGGAGAACGCAAGCTAGTGAGCTGTGGTGTGGTCTGCGGTGTGTCCGTGTGGTCTTGCACTGTGCACTGTTCATTTGTGACTTGGTGGTGTTTTTATGGTGTGGGGCTTTGTTGTTATGGAGTAAAAAATGTAAAAATAGTCACAATTTTAACACCTAAAGAAGCCTGCACTTGCAGACTGGCTGCCAGCACTGAGGTGTAGGTTTTGGCCCTGGAGTTCCTGCTGTGAGGCATCAAACCCATGTTGACTGGATTGTGTGGCGCTTAAGCCCTAATGACTGAGTTCAGCATCTACCTGAGAGGAGCACATATTTCCCTCCCGCACGTCCCGAGCAAGAGGCAGGCCCAGAAGAGCCAGCAGCTCTTCTCTGTGTCTGTGACACTTTTGAGGAGATTGCAGGACAGTGATCTTTGCAGCTGTTGTGTGTGAACTGAGGTGATATGAGGAAGGTGAAGGCGAGGGCTGTTTGAGAAGGGCGCCTACCCCCAGCCTGGAAAGAAGGAGAGGCCTGCGGAAGCACTAAGCCTTTCTTCTCTGAGTGTTTACCCTTCATCAATGATGGGTTATTCAAAAAAAGGGGGTTCTTGGTGCCAGTTAAACCTCTGTGTTGCCCAGAATGACCTGACCGGAGAGCACTCGTGCATCATGCTGAAGACGCTCACTGATGAGGATGAGGCTGACCAGGGAGGCTGGCTTGCAGCCTTCTGGAAAGGTGACTGAGGAGTAGGGGTTTGGGGGAGACAATGAGGTGATTGGGGGCTGCCGGGGATGCCTCCAGACCTCTAACTCTGCGTGATGGCACCCCACAGATTTCCGACGGCGGTTCCTAGCCTTGCTCTCCTACCAGTTCAGTACCTTCTCTCCTTCCCTGGCTCTGAACATCATTCAGAACAGGAACATGGGGAAGCCAGCCCAGCCTGGTGAGCCGGGTGGGGACAGGGAGGAGGGTTGGGAATGGCTTGGCTGTGTGGGAGGTGGGTGTGGTGTCCTAGGAAGGGTTTGGGCTGGAAATTGAGGGACTGGTTCTAGCCTGCAGTCACTCGCTGGTCACCACCCGCTTGCCAGGCCCCTGCTCTGTCCCAGGCTGTGCTGTCTTTCATTTTCATGGTAAGACTCTGGCTGTGCAATTTAATGTCAGAGGTGTCCATTTAGTTCATGTAGCTGGTTGGTTATGGAGGCCGATTTACATCTGTGCTCTAGGGGAGTGAGGTGCTCCATCTCTGAGGTTTAGTTTCCTGATTCATGAAATTGTAATAAGAATATGCTGCTAGCCTTCTGTAGCCAACAGCACACAGAAGTGCTTTGTGCATACAGATTGTTTGAATACTTAAAAAACAAAAAATGTGTAAGAGATTAGTTTTATTGCATATTTTATATATAAATATTTAGGTATAGCATGCATATATGTGTATATGTGTGTGTATATACTTTTTTGCCAATTATATTTTGATGGAGAAATCCGTATATCTTGAGCTGGGCAGAGCTTACACACTTTCTGTGACACCAAATGAAGTGACAAAGCAGGGAAAGAGTGTAGTTGTGTTCCCCTAACCCTGGGCCACAGGGAGCTTTTCCTTGGTCCATGTGTTCAGTATGGGAACTGAGCAAGGGTCCTGTGGCAGCCGTCCCCTCCCCACACGTGGCCTGGAGCCGCCCCTTCTATGGCAGGAGCAGGTTTGGTGCCCCTCTGGGCCAGGGCTGTGTGGTATGGCTGCCAGGCCCTGTTAGATGCTCCTGTGTGTTAGGGTGCCGCCTGGGGGCTGTGTGCTATCTCATGAGGGCGCCGGGTGACCTAACCTGTCTAGCTCTCTATCCCATGGACAGCCCTGAGCCGGGAGGAGCTGGAAGCACTCTTCCTCCCCTATGACCTGAAGCGGCTGGAGATGTATTCACGGAATATGGTGGACTATCACCTCATCATGGACATGATCCCGGCCATCTCTCGCATCTATTTCCTGAACCAGCTGGGGGACCTGGCCCTGTCTGCGGCTCAGTCGGTATGCTATCTGTTGCTTGCGTGGAGGAGAAGCGAGGATTGTGGAGCTGTTCATTTGCTGGGTGTTGGGTTGGGCACTTGGACATAATTGTGTGCCTTTAATTCCTCATACATCTGATAGGTGGGTAGTGGCATCCTCATTCTACAGGTCAGGAAACCTGGGCTCTGAAGTCGAGTAATGTGTCCAGCCATACAAAGTGAGAGAGCTGCAGCTTCCACCCCACTACGTTGCCTTGACACTTAACTCCACCTTAGCAGAGGTTCAGGAACATCCCAAACTTTTAATGTAGTTGTGAAGCAGGTATTTGTCAGGATAAAAGTTACTTTGGGGATTTTAGGAAGACAGCATTTCTTGGTGGTCTCAGTAACAGGATGAAAGAGAAGATGCCAATATACACAGTGCTAGTCTACCTTTGTACCAATAGCTTTGGTCAAGAGAGTACTCTGGTTCTTGGCGCCATTTTAATGGGCAAGGGCGTGTCCTAGAGGCCCACCCAGCAGATTTTCCATCCTTTAGGCTCTTCTCTTGGGGATTGGCCTGCAGCATAAGTCTGTGGACCAGCTGGAAAAGGAGATTGAGCTGCCCTCGGGCCAGTTGATGGGACTTTTCAACCGGATCATCCGCAAAGTTGTGAAGGTAACCTCAGCCTGAGGGCAGGGGCTTGATGTCTCTCAAATAGTGCAACAAACCCACTCCCTGCTCCCGAGATGAACACATGTTAGCATTTAGCTGTGTTTGCTGCATCTCGTCACACACACACACACACACACACACAAATCCAGGACTTCAGAACACATGTTAGCATTTAGCTGTGTTTGCTGCATCTCATCACACATCACACACACACACACACACACACACACACACACACACACACACGTGCGCGCGCAAATACAGGACTTCAGCTCTAAAGAATCTGTGAAGTTCTGTGTCCTCTCCCAGAGGCATCCCTATTAGGAATTTGGTACATATCCAGTCTGTGTTCTTCAGCTCTTCCCGCTAATATCCACATTCCTAAACTGTAGAGTGTTGCTTTGTGTCTTCAAAATGCACACCTTTCTATAAGACACCAAGTGTCTGGGTCACGGGTGACTGGGTCCCTGCTGCTCCTTCATCTTCTGCTTCTCTGTTGGTTGTCTTTTGTAGCTATTTAATGAAGTTCAGGAAAAGGCCATTGAGGAGCAGATGGTGGCAGCGAAGGATGTGGTCATGGAGCCCACGATGAAGACCCTCAGTGACGACCTAGTATGTCCCTGCTCATGGCCTCGGGAGTCCCAGCATTTCCATCAGTTGCCTTAGGCTGTGAATTCAGACTGTCTTCCCCTTCCCCTTTAGAAAGAGTCCTCTGCACTAATTGAGCTAAGTGCTATTCTGTAGGTTTAATTGGACAAACGGACCCAGCATTGTCTGAGCACACACAGGCCTAGAGTTGTGCCTCCCACTGATTGTGTGTGTGTGTTGTGAATGTAGGATTCCAGCATCTGTTGGAAATGTTTTGTCTTTTTTGGTGACTTCTTAAATGCATAGTTTATAACAGAGCTACCTTAAAATAATCAAAGCTGCCTACAAGGTTTTTGCAGGTAGATGGAAGAGAAGGAAATGTTTTCTCATCATTGTGCCATTCCACCCCAGCTTCACCTTTTCCTGTGTTTGGTTCAATCCTTGACTCTGACTTAGTCTCTTTATGGGTCCTTAACCACAGGATGAAGCAGCAAAGGAATTTCAGGAGAAACACAAGAAGGAAGTAGGGAAGCTGAAGAGCATGGACCTCTCTGAGTAAGGCTTGTGGGAAGCAGAGGGTTTGCCTTGGCTTCTGGGGCCCTAAGAATCTGCCTACACGTTTCTTCTAATCATATCCCACGTGCCCTGGAAAGTGTCTTTCATGGGATCAGTTTTAGGGATGCTAACAGTTCTATTTGACCTTCTAATTGCCTGTTTGTATAATTTTGGAAGAGTTGGGTTCCGGAGACTAGTGCCGCCACTTTGACTTACACATTGCACTCTCTGATCCCCAAGGCTCCAGGTCACACCTCGGGTCCTTCCAGGAGTGGGGGTGCCGATTGGATGAGCAGGCCCTTTAATGGTTACTTACTCTATTTGGCTTTTACGTGTGACTTTGTTTGAAGAAAGGATTCTACTGCTAAAACCAACCAAACAAGCAAAACACCCCTTGCTCTAAAACCGTCTGGGAATCCTAGTCCCTTTTGTGCTTCAGCTGTAGTGGTGCTGCCTCTCCCTCCACTGCCTGGATTGATGTGAATAATAACTCCAGAATTCATGGCCTCTGAGCCTCTGTGACCTGTAGTCCTGTTTCTGGGTCATTAGTGATGGTGGCTGCTGGGTATGTGAGGTGGAGGTGGCCAGGAGTCCTTGGACAGAGAATCGAGCTCTAGTTTTTGCCCTCAGCTTTGCAATATCAAAACCTTGATTTGCCAGGACTGCTAAATCTGAAAGAGAAGGGAGGGAGGGGAGAGGCACAGTTCAAGGGCTTGTGGACAAATGCTTGGAGGTGGGAGTGAGTGAGAAGATTGTGGGGGTGACAGGAAGCTTCTTTGGTGGATGTTAATGAGAGTCATGTGGGAAGAGCCAGGCAGGCTGCCTTCTGTGCAGGACTGTCCTCACTGACCCCTGCCAGCAGGCCTGGTGACCCTCGCTCCTGTGGAGCTTCTATCCATAGAGCTAAGCACCATGTCTCTTGGCCCTCCTGCATGCTTGTCCCCTCTGTCCTTTCTGCTGTTCAAATGCTGACACAGCTCAGCCTGGCTTTCATGACAGGAAGTGTCTGATAAGAATGTTGTCACTGTCGTTATTTTCTCTTAAGCAGTCCCCTCTTCTTTCTAGCAGGCTTTGATAGTTCCCTTCTTTTTTTTAGATACATAATCCGTGGGGACGATGAAGAGTGGAATGAAGTTTTGAACAAAGCTGGGCCGAACGCCTCGATCATCAGCCTGAAAAGGTGAGGGCCCAGGGTCTGATGTGCATCTGGCGGAAGAGGCATTCTGGCCTCTCTGCTTCTCTTTAACTTTGACTAGAAAATAGGAGGTTGGAGCAAAAGCTTTGACAGAAAAGTCATGGTTCTTCCCTTTGAGAGTCCCCTGGCCATTACCCTTGCAGTGCATGTCCCACAGACCAGGAGGGCCATCTCTTAGGCATGGATCTCTTCACTCTTTGTATTTGTCAGCCATGCCAGGGCACTGGGCCTGTCATGGAGAAGGGCTTGAGGGAACAGTCCAGAAGCTGCCACTGGCTGAGACTTGCTTATGGGCTTTCATCATTCAGCCCTCAGGATGACAGCATAAGGGGGCTGTTTTATTACTGTCATTGCTTTAAGATGAAGTAACAAGGCTCTCAGGGGTTAAGTTCCCAAGAAGCACACAGCTAGTGAGAGCCGGAGCCAGAATCAAGTCCAGGTTTCTCCACTGCAAGGCCATAGGTTTAACTGTTACGTTGTCCTTCCTTTGAGCCAGCAGTTCTCAAGGTTTTGGGTCTTTGAGTTCCTTTATCTCTTAACAATTAAGGTCCCCAAAGGACTTTTGTTGGTTATATCTATGGAAATTTCCCATATTAGAAATGAAAAACTGGCCAGGTGCAGTGGCTCACGCCTGTAATCTCAGCACTTTGGGAGGCCGAGGTAGGAGGATCGCTTGAGCCCAGGTGTTCAAGACCAACCTGCGCAACATAGCAGACCCTGTCTCTGCAAAAAAATTTTAAAAAGAAAATAAATGAAAAACTGAGAAATTTAAAAAAAATTCATTTGTTCACAGTAATAACGGACTCAGTCGTTTTGAAAAATACTCTTTTTCATAAAAATTTTGGTGAGAAGAGTGGCATTGTTTTACATTTACATTTTTGCAAATCTCTTCAATATCTGGCTTAACAGAAGGCAGCCGGATACTAATGTCTGTGTCTTCACTGACACTATTTTGCTGTCATATCTTATACTCTCTGGAAAACTGAATATTTGTGAGAGAATGAAAATGAAAAAAGGCAAATAACTGTTTTCATACTAATCCAAATACATTTTGACCTTGTGGACACCTGAAAGGGTCTTAGGGACCCCAGCAGTCCCTAGACCACTCTTTGAAAATCTTCACTCCAAGCTTCTTATCTGCAGAGTGGTGCATTTGTAAATAACTTAGGCTGGAACCTTCATCAGTTTTCCCTGGGAGTACAATGAGGCCTCCCCTGCCCAGAGCCACTGGAATTGAGGCTTTCACAGCTGATTTGGGGGTTGATGGGGAGGGTGAGATTTTGGCAATCCCCTATTTATTGGTTTCCTTAAAAGCTTATATTTTGGAAACATTCGGGAAGAGGAAACCTTGTGTCTCTAGGAACTATAGATCCCAGAAATCAGGTACTGTCTTCCAGAGTCTCCGTTAGTCACTGTGGCATCTTGAAGGATCCAGCATCGATGCCGGCCTCATTTCCCAGATGCTTTGTGGTGCAGCACAGAAGCCCACTGTCAGTGTGACCTGTCTCTGTTTTGTACAGTATGGCAAATGTAGCACAGGGCCCATGATGGCTTTGGCCTTGAGCACGGTGGCTTTGACTGGAACAAAAGGCCGGGGAGCATGCTTGCTGTGGAGACGGCCTCAGCTCCTCACTCTGCAGAGCTTGGCCTTTCCTGCCATTTGTTTGGCCATTGCTGGTAGTGAGAAGCCTCTCGAGCCCAACAAACCAGTGTTGTGTGGTTGTTCATGTGCTTGATGGCTCTGAGTAAATGTGAAAGCTTGAACTTTGTGAGCTAAAAATACTGGTAGCTATCATTAAGTCCTCTGAGGCCTTTCTTTTTCTTCCTTTGAGAGGTACTTCATTCATATGATGTTAATGGTCTCTGGACTGAACTCTTCACGGTCTCCTTATAGGGAAGTATTTGTTCCCAGAGCAAAATTTAACCTGTAAGTTTCTTAATGGCAGGTGGCCGTTTGCTGAGTGATTCCTATGCCAGGATATCAATGAAGAATCCAGGGGCTGGTCGCAGGGTGTCACCTGAGTTACTGTTGTTTGGGTTTTCTTCTTCTCATATAGGAAAAATAAAATAATAGTAGCACATCAGAAAGTATGGCAGGGTTTTCCTTGGAGTCTCATGCCTTGTATTAAGGACTGTCTTCAGGGTCATTGGGATGAATATGTCTAGTTTCCAGAGTCACTGCAGTGGTGAGAGTGGTGGTGGGGAATCCTTGTGGTGCCTTAGGTCTGTCTTGGGAGAGGGGAGCAGAGTGTACTGCACCCTGAGGAGAACCCGGATTTCAGGTGTTAAGATCGAGATTTGTTCTTCCACAGACTAAGAGCTGGCTCAGGGCAGGAGCTGGTCTGTATGGTGTGTCCCCAGCCCCAGCACAATGCCTGCCCCCTAATAGGTTTGCAGAGAACATTAATGTCCAATTGGGTGGCCTACATCAAGTTTCAGACGGTGGAAACCCTTTTTGACAAAGCAAAGCAAGCTTAAAGCAGTCTCAGATGTTCAGATCTGTACATATTTCATTCTTTCTATTTTTGATTTTTCTCTAGTGACAAGAAAAGGAAGTTAGAGGCCAAACAAGAACCCAAACAGAGCAAGAAGTTGAAGAACAGAGAGACAAAGAACAAAAAAGATATGAAACTGAAGCGGAAGAAATAGTGAAGAGAAACTCGGGCATCTGTGTTTGATCATGGGAAGATACTCTCACTAACTGAACCCTCTCTGGCTGGACTGTTAAAAGCAACGAGAGGCCCCGGCACACCTGGAAGCTGGCCGCGAATTCGGCCTCTGGGCCTGTGTGTCTGTGAGCTCAACCTGGCTAAAGGCAGAGTCACTCCCAAATGGGTCTCTTTAGAACTTGATGGCTGGGCACTGCCATCTCTAGAATTGCCACGAGTCTCTCTCTTCCTGCCCAGTCCAGGGCCCTCCTTTCCTATAAGTTCATATTTTGCTTTGAGCCAGCTTTTTAGTCTCATTCCCACACATGTGGAAGCCACGTTGCCTCTCGACCGCCTGAGGCCCTTAAGTACATCGCTTTCTGGTGGTGCCCAGGAGGCTGCTGCTGGGCCGCTGGGTCTCTCTTTGTGGACTTGTACCTGGAGCAGGAGGAACTCCAGTCCGTCCCGGCATCCATGGCAGCCCGCGGTTAGGTGCGCCAGGGTTTGCTGATGTTGTCTTGTGCTGTTCCACTCTTGGCTCCAGCAGACCCACTGTCCCAGAAAAGCCTGATCCTGTAGTTTATGTAGAATGCCACATCTGCGTCCTCAAGACCTGTTTCATCCATTTGGGAAAAGATGTTGGGAAAGGCCACTTTGCTCGCAGGGGTGAGGGGAAGGATAGAGAATCTATTTTTAATAAATAACATTCTAGAAAGATCAGCTGCCTGTGAGTGTTCTGAAATCCACGCACCTGGACGTTTCTTCTGGTGGGTCTTGGCTGCCTGGTGGAATTTGGAAGGTGTTGGTATCAAGGTCAAAGGTGAGCAGTGTGTCTAGGGCTTCCCAGCCCAGGAGTCTGCGGGAGAAGTGGCAGGTGGCTATGGTCACCTCGAGGGGCTTGGTGTGGTGGCTGGAAGCCAGCTAGAACTGCCTCATTTCCTTCCCAGCTCCTTCCAGGTCACTTGGTCCCTTCCATTTGTTGGGAACAGAGGTAACCTGGTGGCTTTACACATACTTTGGTATGTTTGTTTAATGGTATCCAGGCTAATGAGTCTGCAGCCCCGATATGTTGTCTAGGTTCAGAGAAGGACAGGGAAGGAAACGGTAACTTCTCAGCCTAAGGGTATTTCATATACAGCTCCTAGGACTCGTCCCCACAGGGAGAAGAGCAGGTTCTGTATGCGACCCTAGGGCTGCTGAGGCTTGTCACCGAGGCTGTCAGGACATGAGCCTAGGGGTCTTTCGTTTCTTGGGACTGAAGTTTCCTGGCCACAGACCTCTGTTAGGTCTGTAGGAAATTTTGCTGGAGGCAGGGAGGGGGCATGAAAATAATTTTTATTTATTTTCTCAGGTGGGTGCCTGAACCTGCCTTTCAAAGAGGGTTTTCTTAGACCGTGGCCAGAAGCAGAGTCACATGCTCAAATGGTCAGAGCTGGATGGGACTGTGCAAGTTGTCCAGGCATATCATCCTACAGGTAAGGAAGCTTTTGTTTAGTGTCTCTACCCTCAAAGTCTCCCCGGCTGGCTCTGCTTTGGGGTGCAAGGTGAGGGCTCTGGAGGTAGACTGCTCTGCCCTGACGCTCACCGTGGCCTTGGGCAGGTTACTTCATCCTACCTGCCCTTCAGGTCCATTTCTGCAAAATTTGAGTGGTAGGAATAGCACCTCCGTCACGGGACTGTGGTGAGAAGTGGGTGGGGTAGAATGGGAAACGTTTAGAACAGTGCCTGGCACATAGCAAGTGCCTCTGGGTTCTGGGCACTCATCAGATCTAACTAGAGGAGCCGCTCAAGTTCAGTTACATGCCAGCTCTAAGAATACTCAATAAGGACTAGCTGTGGTGTTCTTTTGAAAACAGACAGGGTCTTGCTCTGTTGCCCAAGCTGGAGTGCGGTGGCTCAATCATAGCTCATTGCAGCTTTGAACTCTTGGGCTGAAGCCATTCTCCCACCTCAGCCTTCCAAGCAGCTGGGAAGGTGCTCACCACCACACCTGCCTAATTTTAAAAATTATGTACAGATGGAGTCTCAATATGTTGCCCAGGTTGGTCTGGAACTCTGGCCTCAAGTGATCCGCCTGGGCCTCCCAGAGTATAGGGATTAGAGGCATGAGCCACCACACTTGGCCAGGACTGGCCATGTTATAAAACCACAACCTAAGCTAGAAAAGGAGTCTCCCTTGGCCAGCGAAGAGCATGCATTTTGCAGTCAGACTTGTCTGGCTCTGTATAATATCTCTGTATCCTTGGACAAGGCCTCTTTATTTGCAAAGTGTGTGTTCCTAAACACACGCTTGGGTCTTTGCATTTTATGGTCATGATCTTGGGTTCTCCTTCAAACCTGAAAAGGCATGTCTCCCCCACACCTCACCATCTGGCCCCCAGACAGAGTGACATCTGTAAAGCTTGGCTGTCTTAGGAAATGTCACTTGCGAAATGAATTCAGATAGGCCAGCCATGAGTGCTGTCACCAGAAGGGGAAGAGCCTGAAGAAGCCTGAACAAAGAAGGTTACTAAATGGTCACCCCCCATACCCCCTCGCCAGGCGGGGCTAATGCCGGCCTGCTTCAGTGCTTCCACTGCTCATCTGGCCCGGAAGTCCCGGAGGACTCCGGATGACCAGGAGACGGGACACAAAGGGGGCCGCTGAGGCTGGGAGGTGGGGGAGGGGCAGAAATAAGTGACCGTCACCTTGGAAAAATGTAGACTCATTATCTGAGGCCTGTTACAACACCCGCAGCCATTCTGCAGGCCTGGAGGAGGGGGTGGGGTCGGAAGCCCCTTGGGCTGGAATAGACAATTTCAGGGGATTGCCCCTGAGGGGGCATGCCCTTGATTCTACAAACAATTGGTTCCAGTTAAACATCATCTGGATCCTGCAAAGCGGACTTGAAAGGCAGCCTGAAAGGGAGAGGCCGGGGCTTCCTGCTTGGGCTGGTTCCGTTGAGAAAGCTCTAGCCACCTGGTATCTGGCACGGGGACTAATGTGGAAAAGGATAACTGGCCTTCCAGGCCGAGAGCCTAAAGGAAAGCTTCAGGAGAAGATTTGAATGCAGGAAAGAAACCAGACAGCCTCAAAAAGGACAATCTCAGTGTTAGCCCTGTCGGTGCAGGAGCAGACTGGTACCTGCCACCTCTGGAGAGGTGTTTTCTTTGGAGACGGCTAAGGCGCCAGCTTATGCTTGCCTGTGGACCCACTGGAGCCGAGTGAAATCCCTGTAGATGCAACCCATGCTCACAGCACCTGGGTCCTCAAGGGCTCCAGTAAGAGGGTAACTCCCCCAAGCCTGCCTGTGGCTGCTCATAGCAGGCGGAGCAGGGCAGGCCGTGAGCAGTGGCCCGGAATTAGGAGGTCCAGCTGCCTGGGTAAGTGATCATTTCTGTTTGAGTCCTAGCCCCTTGGAAGCATGTCTGCTTTTTTTTGGTAATTATTTTAATTTTAAATGTTTATTCAAAAATGTATTCCTGCTACCCACAGGCTCCAAGGGGCCCGCTCCCTCCTTCCTACCTCCACTTTCTCTCAACCCCCCACTCACCCTCTCAAGAGAGGAAATGGTGGATCCCTCATCTGGAGCCAGAATGCAACTAGATCTTGCTTTCTAGGCTGGGTACGGACCAAGGCATGTCCTGCAGGGATGGGGGAACTTGTGGGGACGCTGGACACAGACCCATGAAGGGCAGCCACTTTGAATGGCAAGTGCTGGGGACGGACAGCCCGCTCCACCACCGTCTTGGGCCACTGCACAGGAAGATGGTGTGGGGGAGTGCGCCCCCTCCTAGTGGCCCCCAGAGGGCACCATGGGTCTGTGCGGCCACAGGTCCCCAGGCTGGGCCTCGAGCTGCCCTGCGCAGCTCCTGCTGGAATTGGGCTTTGCCAGGGACTGGGATCTTTATGTCGTTCCCCTAACGCCTGAGTCACGGCCGGTCACTGACCCACAGCCACTTTGGTTCAGGTTCTCAGTGACCTTAGGAATTTCTATACCTGTTTCAGGCAGGCAGGCAGGCGACTTTTTTTTTGAGAGAGAGTCTTGCTTTGTTGTCCAGGCTGAGGTGCAGGGGTGATCATAGCTCACTGCAGCCTCGAACCCCTGGGCTCTGTGATCCTCCCACCTCAGCCTCCTGAGCAGCTGGGAATACAGATGTGCACCACTATGCCCAGCTAACTGGCAGGGAATGTTTTAAAAACTTATATTTGTGCCTGAACTTTGCACCTAAAACTACAGCCATAACTCCAGTACACTCTTGGACCTGAGTCGGCGCCTCACCATCTCCCTCCATTACCTCTGCTAGTGGCCTTGTGGTGGTACAGCCAGCTTAGCTTAGCTGGGCCTGGGGGCAGCAGTCACCCAGGGATAGGTCCCTCAAATCAATCAGGCCAGGTCAGGCCTGGGTGAAGGAGGCCCTGCTGCCACTTTGGTGGGCTGTGCCATTTGGGGATGTGCCTCTGAAGACAACCCCCAAAATAGCTCCCACATAAAGGGCCGTGGAGGGGATGGGAGTGGAGATCAGGAAAGCCTGATAGTGTCATATTCCTCAGTCATTTGGTGTCTGTCCAGCTCAGTGGCACACATGTGCTTAATTAAATGTGAGCGTGGGCGGGTGAGGAATGGATCCAGGCTTCGTTTCTGGAGAGAGGCGAGTGCTGGGTGGCCACAGCAATGGCTTTGGTAGGGTCTTGGCTCTGAGAGGGGGGAGACCTGAGTAACAGCGTTAGCTCTGGGA